>NC_000006.12:102646547-102798062 GCF_000001405.40 Homo sapiens
CACATTTGGTACCAGCATGGCCACAGGAGGGTATAGCACCAAGCAGAATAAAACATCACATAAACAGAATTAAAAACAAAAACCATGATTGTCTCAATAGATGTAGAAAAAGCTTTCAATAAAATCCAACATCTCTTCATGATAAAACTCCATAAAATAGGCATCAATGGAACATACTTCAAAATAATAAGAGCCATCTATAACAAACCCACAGCGAACATCATACTGAATGGGCAAAAGCTGAAACTATTCTTTTAGAGAACTGGAGCAAGACAAAGGTCCCATTTTTATCACTCCTATTCAACATATTGCTGGAAATTCTAGCTAGAGTAATCAGGCAAGAGAAAGTAATAAAAGACATGCAAATAGGAAAAGAATAACTCAAATCGTTGCTCTTCACTGGCAATGTAATTCTACATCTAGAAAACCTTAAAGATTTCACCAAAAGGCTCCTGGTGCTAATAAATGACTTCAGTAAAGTTTCAAGGTACAAAATTAATATACAAAAATTATTAGTAGCATTTTTATACACAAATAATGTCCTAGCTGAGAGTCAAATCAAGGACACTATCCCATTTAAAACAGTGACAAAAAGCAAAATACCTATGAATACATCTATCCAAAGAGGTGAAAGGTCTCTACAAATAGAACTACAAAACACTGCTGAAGGAAATCATGGATGAGACAAACAAATGGAAAAATATTTTCTACTTATATATTGGAAGAATCAATATCACTGAAATCCATATACTACTCAAAGCAATCAACAGATTAAACACTATTTCAACGAAACTACCAATGTCATTTTTTCCCAGAATTAGAAAAAAAATACTATTCTAAAATTCATTTGGAAAGAAACAAAACAAACAAAAAAAAGATCCTGAATGGCCAAATAAATCCAAAGCAAAAGGAATAAAGCCAGAGGCATCACATTACCCAATTTTAAACTATACTGTAATGCTACAATAACCAAAACAGTATGGTACTGGTACAAAAACAGACATGTGCACCAATGGAACAGAATGGAAAACCCAGAAATACAGCTGAACACCTACAGCAATCTGACTTTCAGAAAATTTGAAACAAATAAGTAAAGGGGAAAGGAGTTTCTATTCAATAAATGGTATTGCCATACATGGCTAGCCATATGAAGAAAGAAAATAGTTAATAGCTATCTACACAGAAAAAGCACCTAAATTTTTTTTTTTTGAAGGAGTCTCTTGCTCTGTCGCTCAGGCTGGAGTGCAGTGGCCTGATCTTGGCTCACTGCAACTTCTGCCTCCCAGGTTCAAGTGATTCTCCTGCCTCAGCTTCCTGAGTAGCTGGGATAACAGGTGTGGGCCACCATGTCTGGCTAATTTTTGCATTTTTAGTAGAGATGGGGTTTCACCCTGTTGGTCAGGCTGGTCTTCAACTCCTGACCTTGTGGTCTACCCATCTCGGCCTCGCAAAGTGCTATGATTACAGGCGTGAGCCACTGCCCCTGGCCAAACACCTTCTTAAGAACCAAAAATTAGATGAGCACTCACAGTACCTGGCTTTAACTTCATAACACTGAAAGAGGCACTGAGGATATAGAAAAAGCAGTCCTGGATCATGGTTTCCACCCCTCTTCTATCCCCTGGTGGCAGCGGCATGGCATGGAGAGCATCTCTGGGTGCAGGAGGAGGAACACAGCAATTGTGAGGCATTGAATTCCATGCTGTCTTGTTACAGCCGAAAGGAAAACCAGATTAAATTCAGCTGATGCCCACCTACAGAGGGTGCATTGAAATCCATCCTAGCCAGTGGGGAATCACAGATCCCAGAGGTTTGAACTTGAGTGCCTGCACACCTAGTTGTCACCAAGGGTTACCACACTGTGTCTACAAGTAAACTTACAAAGCAATCTAGGCCATAAGGACTCCAACTCTTAGTGAGCCCTAATAATCAACTAAGTCCAAACACAGTGGACTTTGGGGGCCAATGACACACCGAGACATCAACTGGGCTGCCAATGGAGTGCTGGAATCATCCCTCCACTAACCCGAGGCTGCATAGCTCACCACTCCCTAAAAGACCCCTTCTTTCTTCTTGGAAGAGAAGATGGAACAGGGGGAGAACTTTTTCTTGCATCTAGAATATGAGCTCAGCCATAGCAGAATTAGACACCAGCCAGAGTCCTGAGGCCCCTATTTCAGGCCCTACCTCCCAGACAAAACATTTAGACACACACTGAGCTGGAAGGGAACCTGCCTCTTTGAAGAAAAGAATCCACTCCTGGCAGCATTTATCACCTGCTAACTGAAGAGCTCTTGGGTGCTGAGTAACAAGCAACTTACCCAGGTGCTACAGTGAGAGCCCTGATTGAGCCTCTGAGACTTGCTGGCTTCAGGTTAGACTCAACACATTACCAGCTGTGGTAGCTATGGGACAAAGCACCATCTGCTTAAGAAAAGCAGAGGAAGAAGTAAAGGAGACTTTGTTTTTCACCTTACGTACCAGCATGGCCATAGTGGGGTAAAGCACCAAGCAGGTTCTTGGGGCCCCTGATTCTAGGGCTTGACTCTTAGATGGAATTTTTGAACCTGACATGGGCAGAGGGGAGCCCACCTCTCTGAAGGGTGAGTCCCAGGCCATACAGCATTCACCACAAGCTGAATTAAGAGACTTTAGGCCTTAATGGAACCACGGCCACAGTCTGAGAGTACTCCTCATGGGTTGGGATGATGATAGCTATGAGGTAAGAGTCCTCTGACTTTGGAAAGGGGAGGAAAGAGTGGGAAGAACAGCGTCTTGTGGTTTGAGTGCAAGCTCAGCCACCATAAAATAGAACACCAAGTAAACTTCTAAGGTTACTAAATCTAGTACCTGACTCCCAAACAGTACTCTGGACCCACCTAGGAACTGGGGGACCTTACCACACTAAAGAGAAGGACACAGACATGGATGGCTTTGTCACCACTGATTATGGAGCCCCAGAGCCTTGGGCAAACATAGGCAGTAGCCAGAGAGTGGTTACAGCAGACCTTGGGCAAGACCCAGTACCGTGCTGGCTTCAGGTCTGATGCAGCACAGTCATAGTGGTGATGACCACAGGAGTTCTTGTGTTAATTCATCCCCAGAATTATGTGACACAGAACAGAGAGAAAGAGATAGAGAGTGAGATTCTCTATGTTTTGAAGAAAGTAAGGTAAGAACAAGAGTCTTTTCCTGGTAACCCAGAGAATTCTCCCAGGTTGTGTCCAAGACTATCAAGGTGGTACCTCTATGCCACCACAAAAATGACAACATTATTAGGCTTGGGGTGCCCCCTAAACATAAACAGTTTAGATCACAGCACCCAAGTCCTTTTAAGTATCTGGAAAGCCTTCCCAAGAAGGATGGCTACAAATACCTGCAATATTTGTAGACTGCAATAAATACCTAATCCTTCAATACCCAGACATGGAAGAACATCTACTAACATCAACACCATCCAGGAAAACATGACCTCACAAAATGAACTAGATAAGCCACCAGGGACCAATCCAGGAGAAACAGAGATCAATGACCTTTCAGACAGACAATTCAAAATGTCAATGTTTAGGAAACTCAAAGAAATTTAAGATAACCCTGAGAAGAAATTCAGAATTTTATCAGATAAATTTAACAAACAGATGAAAAGAATATATTAAAAAAACAGGCAGAAATACTGGAGCTGGAAAACGCAATTGGTATACTGAAGAATGCATCAGAGTTCTTTAATAGCAGAATTGATCAAGCAAAATGAAGAAATAGTAAGCTTTAAGACAAGCTATTTGAAAATACACAGTCAGAGAAAACAAAATAATTTTTTTTTTTTTTTTTTTTTTTTTTTTTTTTTTTTTACTCATCCATGTTTCTGTTTATATATAGGATAACAAATTCAGGAACAATGGGAAAGTAACATATGAAACCTTAACAGGAAATACAATAGAGATTACAAAACACTACCATTTGATTTTTTATGCAAATACTTCAATATTCCAATATTTTTACTCACTTGCTAAATAAAGCACACGACTCGAAATGCTAAATAATTCTGTTAGTCTAAATCTTTTAAAGAATAAAACGTTGGGGAAAAACCAAAATTGTTTAGTAAGGTATGTATGACCTTGTTTATTATCTATCATAGACATCAAGATGATCATAGTTAATACCAATTTAAGCTTTACAGAACACTGTTTTAGGCCCAATATTGATATATTAAATGAAGGTATCAGAGAATCTTGTATTTATGGCATCGGGTTATAAAGATCTATTCAAAACCATTTTTGTCAAAGTTTAAACACTGGGACACAGAATGATTCTTGCTAATAGTACAAATTTTGCCCCATGGGTAATACTATTGTCTCTTTCTTTTTTAAAAAAATTATTTTGACTTTTATTTTAGATTCAGGGAACACATGGGCAGGTTTGTTAGCTAGGTATACTGTGTGATGTTGAGGTTTGGGGTACGGATGATCCTGTCACCCAGGTAGTGAGCAGAGCCCCCAGTAGGTAGTTTTTGAGCTCTTGCTCCTGCTCCCCACCCTACCTCCCCAGTGTCTATTATTCCCATGGATCCTCAGGTATTACTATTTTCAAGTTTTTTTCTTTACATGAAACTACTGAAAGCAGAAGTATGTCATGCTTATAGGTTACTCTGTACATTTATCATTCTAATAATAAACATCTTAAGTAATTAAGTAGTGTATTAAGGCCATAAACCAAGTCATTATCTCCTATCAAAGGACTACTGTTACTCAATCATCTAGAAAATTCATTTTAGGCAGGACACAGTGGCTCATGTCTGTAATCTCAGCACTTTGGGAGGCCGAGGTGGGTGGATCATGAAGTCAGGAGTTCGAGACCATCCTGACCAGCATGGTGAAACCCCGCCTCTACTAAAAATACAAAAATTAGCTGGGTGTGGTGGTGTGTGCCTGTAATCCCAGCTACTCAGGAGGCTGAGGCAGGAGAATGGCTGGAACCCAGGAGGCAGAGGTTGCAGTGAGCTGAAATTGCGCCATTGCACTCCAGCCTGGGTGACAGAGAGAAACTCTGTCTTTAAAAAAAAAAAAATTCATTTTAATGGGTTATGTTACAGGGTTGAGGTCAGCCTACAGACACAAAATAGGTTAACTAAAATTTTTCTTTTTTTGGTATCAGGTTTTACTTTTTTCATTGGAACAGGATTTGGGGGTGGGGATACTAAATGTGGCAGGGTTCAACAAATTTACATTTTATCAAAATAAGGTTCTTAAAGAATACAATGATAGCATATGCTTTAACTCTTACAGCACAAACCCTCATATTAATTGATGGTCACAGAAAAATACTGTAATGCTTTAAACAAAAGTTTTAAAATACATCAATGACACAAGTTTCAAACAAAATGCAGTGATCAAAATACTTAACTGTCCTTTCATCAAGCTTTTACAAACACAGTCAGTCTAAAAATCACACTAATAGGATCTAGAAAATAGACTCAAAAGGGCAAATCTAGGAGTTATTTGCCTTAAAAAAGAGGTAGATCAAGATACAGGGGTGGAAAGTTTATTCAAAGTTTATAACAGATAACTTCTGAAACATAGAGAAATATATCATTATTAAAGTACAAGAAGGTTATAGAACATCAAGCAGATTTAACCCAAAGAAGACTACCTCAAGGCATTTAATAATCAATCTCTTTAGCTTAATTAGATACCATTTGTCAATTTTTGCTTCTGTTGCAATTCCTTTTGACATTTTCATTATAAAATCATTGTGTGTACCTATGTCCTAAATGGTATTGCCTAGACATTCTTGTGGTCTCTTTTTTTTATATTTTTTTAATTACACTTTAAGTTCTAGGGTAAATGTGCACAACGTGCAGGTTTGCAACATATGTATACATGTGCCATGTTGGTATGCTGCATCCATTAACTCGTCATTTACATTAAGTATATCTCCTAATGCTATCCCTTCCCCTCTACCCCTACCCCATGACAGGCCCTGGTGTGATGTTCCCTTTCCTGTGTCCAAGTGTTCTCATTGTTCAATTCCCACCTATGAGTGAGAACATGCAGTGTTTGGCTTTTTGGCCTTGTGATAGTTTGCTGAGAATGATGGTTTCCAGCTTCACCCATGTCCCTACAAAGGACATGAACTCATCATTTTTTATGGCTGCACAGTATTCCATGGTATTTATATGCCACATTTTCTTAATCCAGTCTATCATTGATGGACTTTTGGGTTGGTTCCAAGTCTTTGCTATTGTGAATAGTGCCACAATAAACATACGTGTGCATGTGTCTTTATAGCAGCATGATTTATAATCCTTTGGGTATATACCCAGTAATGGGATGGCTGGGTCAAATGGTATTTCCAGTTCTAGATCCTTGAGGAATCGCCACACTGTCTTCCACAATGGTTTGGCTAGTTTACAGTCCCACCAATAGAGTAAAAGTGTTCCTATTTATCAACATCCTCTCCAACACCTGTTGTTTCCCGACTTTTTAATGATCCCCATTCTAACTGGTGTGAGATGGTATCTCATTGTGTTTTTGATTTGCATTTCTCTGATGGCCAGTGATGATGAGCATTTTTTCACGTGTCTGTTGGCTGCATAAATGTCTTCTTTTGAAATGTGTCTGTTCATATTCTTTGCCCACTTTTTGATGGGGTTGTTTGTTTGTTTCTTGTAAATTTGTTTGAGTTATTTGTAGATTCTGGATATTAGCCCTTTGTCAGATGAGTAGACTGCAAAAATTTTTTCCCATTAGGTAGGTTGCCTGTTCACTGTAATGGTAGTTTCTTTTGCTGTGCTCTGCAGTTTAATTAGATCCCATTTGTCAATTTTGGCTTTTGTTGCCATTGCTTTTGGTGTTTTAGACATGAAGTCCTTGCCCATGCCTATGTCCTGAATGGTATTGCCTAGGTTTTCTTCTAGGATTTTTATGGTTTTAGGTCTAACATTTAAGTATTTGATCCATCTTGAATTAATTTTTGTATAAGGTGAAAAGAAGGGATCCAGTTTTAGCTTTCTACATATGGCTAGCCAGTTTTCTATAGTTTTGGGTTTTACACTTAAGTCTGTAATCCATCTTGAGTTAATTTTCGTATAAGATGTAAGAAAGAAGTCCAGTTTCAACTTTCTGCAAATGGCTAGCTAGTTGTCCCAGCACCACTTATTAAATAGGGAATCCTTTCACCATTGCTCTTTTTGTCAGGTTTGTCAAAGATCAGGTGATTGTCGATGTGTGATCTTATTTCTGAGATCTGTATTCTATTCCATTGATCTATGTGTCTGTTTTCGTACCTGTACCATGCTGTTTTGGTTACTATACTTGTAGGATAGTTTGAAGTTGATCTAATACCCAGAATCTATAAGAAACTTAAAAAAATTTACAAAAAAAAACCCCAACCCCATTAAAAAGTGGAAAAAAGACAAGAACAGACACCTCTCAAAAGAAAACAGTTATATGGCCAAAAAGCATGAAAAAGAGACTTCAGAATTCCTAATCAGTAGAGAAATTTAGATTAAAAACCACATCAAGATACCATCTTAAGCCAGTCAGAATGGCAATTATTAAAAAGTCAAGAAGCAACAGATGCTGGCAAGGCTGTAAAAAAATAGGAACACTTTTACACAGTTTTAAATTAGTTCAACCAATGCAGAAGACAGTTTAGTGATTCCTCAAAGACCTAGAACTAGAAATACCATTTGACCCAGCAATCCTATTACTGAGTATATACCCTAAGGCATATAAATTATTCTATTATAAATATACATGCACACATATGTCATTGCTGCACTATTCACAATAGCAAAGACATTGAATCAACCCAAATACCCAACAGTGATAGACTGGATAAAGAAAATGTGGTGCATATACATCATGGAATACTATGCAGCCATAAAAAATGATGACTTCATTTTATTTGCAGGGACATAGATAGAACTCGAAGCCATTATCCTCAGCAAATTAGTACAGAAACGGAAAAAAAAAAAACCACCAAATGCTCTCACTTGTAAGTGAGAGCTGAACAATGAGAACACATGGACACAGGGAGGGGATCAACACACACTAGGGCCTGTCAGGCAAAGGGGATGTAGCGGGAGGGAGAGATTCAGTATAAATAGCTAATGCATGTGGTGATTAATACCTAGGTGATGGATTAATAGGTGCAGCAAACCACCACGGCACACATTTACCTATGTAACAAATCTGCATAATCTACATATGTATCCCAGAACTTAAAATAAAATAAAATAAAATTTAAATAAAATACGTGCTCTTAAAAACAACAAGAAAAAAATGAAGAAATAGCAAACTCTCAAAGATTAAGGATAAATAAAAGATTCTAAAAGCAGCAGGAGAAAAGAAATAAATAATGTACAATGGAACTCCAATACATTTGATTGCATTCTTTTTCAGTGGAGACCTTACAGGCCAGGACAAAATGGCATAACATATTTAAAGTGCGAAAGGGAAAAAAAAATCTTACTCTAGAATAGTATATCCAGTGAAAATATTCTTCAAACATAAAGAAGAAATAAAGCCTTTTCCAGATAAGCTGAAGGATTTCATCAATACCAGACCTATCTTACAAGAGATGTTAAAGAGAGTACTTCAGTCAGAAAGGAAAGGACATTAATGAGCAATAAATAATTATCTGAAAGTATAAAACTCATTGGGAGTAGTAAGTACACAGAGAAACACAGAATACTGCCACAGTGTTGCTGTAGTGTGTTAACTACTGTTATCTTAAGTGGAAATATTAAACAATGAACCAACCAAAAATAACAACTACAACAACTTTTCAAGACCTAGGCAATACAATACGATATAAATAGAAACAACAAAAGTTTAAAAATGGGGGAATGAAGTTAAGCATAGAGTCCTTACTAGTTTTCTTTTTTGCTTGTTTGTTTGTTTGTACAAATAGTGTTAAAAGTTTTTATGAGGTTAAAATAATGGATAATAAGATAGTATTTGCAAGCCTCATGGTAACCTGAAACAAAAAAATACAATGGATACACAAAAAATAAAAAGCAAGAAGCAAACAATATCACCAGAAAAAATCACCTTCACTAGAAGGAGATAAAAAGGAAACAAGAGAAGAGCAGAAAACAAATAACAAAAAGTAAGCCTTTACTTATCAATAATAACAATGATGTAAATGGATTAAAGCTTCCAATCAAAAGATACATACTGGCTGAATGGATCAATAAACAAGACCCATTGATCTGGTGGCTCCAAGAAACACACTTCAAATATAAAGACACATATAGACTGAAAATAAAGGGATGGAGAAAGATATTCCATGCCAATAGAAACCAAAAAAGGCAGAAATAACTATACTTGTATCAGAAAAAAGTTGATTTCAATACTAAAACTATAAAAATAGACAAAGTAGTTTACATAATGATAAAGAGGTCAATTCAACAGGAGGATATTATTTTTACCCCATTTAAAATGCCCTTTATCCAAAAGACAAACAATGACAAATTCTGGAGAGAATGTGGAGGCAAAATACCTTTATGTGCGGTTGGTGGAAATGTAAATTAGTGCAACCACTATGGAGAATAGTGATTAGATTAGACAAACTAATCAAAGGAGGTGAGTCTGGAAAAAGTTTGGAGGTTCCTCAAAAATCTAAAAATTGAATTACCATATGATTCAGCAATTTTCCTGCTGGGTGTATACTCCAAAGAAATAAAACAGTATATTGAAGGTATATCTGCACTCTGATGTTTGTTGCAGCACTGTTGATTTGGAAGCCATCTAAGTGTCTGTCAGCAGATGAATGGCCAAAGAAAATGTGGTACATATACACAATGGAGGACTACTCAACCATAAAAATTATTGCGATCTTGTCTTTTGCAACAGCATAAATGGAACTGGAGATCATTATGTAAAGTAAAATAAGCTACACCAAGAAAGACAAACATTGCTTGTTCTCACTTATTTTGAGATCTAAAAATGAAAATAATGAAACTAATGGACATAGAGAGAGAAAGGATGGTTACTAGAGGCTGAGAAGGGTAGTGAGGGGCTCAGTGGGAGGTGGGGATGGTTAATTTGTACAAGAACAAATAGAAAGAATGGATGAGACCTACTATTTGATAGCACAACAGGGTGGCTCAAGTCAGTAATAACTTAATTGTACATTTTATAATACCTTGAAAAGTGTAATTGTATTGTTTGTAACTTAAAGAATAAATGCTTGAGGGCACGGATACCCCATTCTCCATATTCCACATTGCAGGTCTTAATCAAAACATCTCATGTACCCCATAAATATATATACCTATTATTTACCCACAAAAATTAAAAAAATAAATATTATTTAATGAAAAAAAATTAAATGCAAGATCACAAACTATAAGAATCCTAGAAGAAAACCTAAGAAACACCACTCTGGACATCAGCTTTGGGAAAGAATTTATGACTAGTCCTCAAAAGAAATTGCAGCAAAAAGAAAAATTGACATGTGATCTAATTAAACTAAAGAGCTTCTGAACTATAAAAAAATTATCAACAAAGCAGTCTGATGATCTATGGAATGAGAGAAAATATTCACAAACACTGCATGCAACAAAGGCCTAATATCTAGAGTCCATAAGAAACTTAAACTATTCAACAAGTGAAAACAAATAAGCCTATTAAAAAGTGGGCAAAAGACATAAATAGACAATTCTCAAAAACATACATACAAGTGATGAACAAACATACAAAGAATTCTCATCACCAACAATCAGAGAAATGCGAATTGAACCCATAATAAGATATCATCTCACACTAGTCAGAATAGCTATTATTAAAAAGTCAAAAAGCAACAGATGCTGGCAAAGCTGTAGAGAATAGGGAATGCTTACACACTGTTGGGAACTGTATTAGTATATTTTCACACTGCTGATAAAGACATACCAAAGACTAGGCAATTTATAAAATAACGAAATTTGATAGATTCAGTTCTGAATGGCTGTGGAGGTCTCACAATCATGGTGAAAGGCAAGGGGGAGCCAGTTATGTCTTCCATGGAAGGCAGCAGGCAAAATAGCGTTTGTGCAGGGAAACTCCCCTTTATAAAACCATCAGATCTCATGAGACTTATTCCCTATCACAAGACTAGCATAGGAAAGACCCACCCCCATGATTCAATTACCTTCCACTGGGTCCCTCCCACAACATGTGAGAATTGTGGGAGCTACAATTCAAGATGAGATTTGGGTTGGGACACAGACAAACCATATCAGGGGAAATGTAAATTAGTTCAGCCACGGTGTAAAGCAGTTTGGACATTTCCCAAAGAATTTAAAACAGAATTATCATTACACCTAGCAACCTTATTAAAGGGTATACATCCAAAAGAAAACAAATTATTCTACCAAAAAGATATATGCACTTATATGTTTATTGCAGCACTATCCACAATATCAAAGATAGGAAATCAACCTAGGTGTCCATCGATGGTGGATTTGATAAAAATAATGTGGTACAAATATACAATGAAATACTATACAGCCATTAAAAAGCCCAAGATCATCTTCTTTGTAGCAACATGGATGAAACTGGAGGCCATATCCTAAGTAAATTAATGCGGGGGCAGAAAACCAAATACCACATGTTCTTATGTATAAGTGAGCAAAATGTTGGGTACTCATGGACATAAAGATGGCAACAAAAGTCACTAATGACATTTAGAAGGGGAAGGGAGGGAGGGGTAAAAAAATTGAAATAAACTAACTGTTGGTTACTATGCTCACTACCTATGTGACAGGATCATCCGTGTCCCAAACTTTAGTATCACAAAGTATATTCCAGCAAAAAACTTGTACATGACCCCTGAATCTAAAATAAAAGTTAAAATTACAAAATAAATGAAACGTTAAGATAGAATAAAATGACTAAATTCAGCAAAATAATCCTGAAGAATAAAGTACATTAATACACTAATAATTTATAATAGCATTCATAAGAATTTTTAAAACTATTCAATACAAAGATTTGTGGTTAGGATTAACAGAAGCAACAAAGGTCAGTGAAGCCTCCAAAGACTAGAAATCAAGGGACTCCATTATCTCTCCTAGGTGAAAAGCAGAAGAAATGATGTTACTAGAACCAGGGAAGAAATTCAAGTCTAGGAAATTGACTCCTTGCTGAGAGCTGCAGTCATTTAAAGAGGAATAAGGTCTGCTAAAACCATAGCCGTAGAGAAAAGAATTGGGGAAATAAGCACACTTGTTCCCTTGTCACCTGCTTTGATTAGACAAATTCAACTGGAAGCCAGAGTGCAAGAAGCAAGTCATGCAATCAATAAAGGTCAGCTTTCCAGAATCTAGAATATGGCATAGAAAGGAAGAAAAGATTCTGAAGTGGCAAATAGAGAATAAGTTATCCAGTTACACTGTAAGTGATCTAATTAACCTTGAAACATCGCTAGTTTAAACTCTGGATGTGACATGTTCTTTAAAGCACTGTTTGGATTCACTGGATTATAGTTATTTATTATTTTTATAATAGTATTCATGAATAAGATTTTACTGCATTTGAGTTAATTTTCATTAGTTTTTTATAGCTTTTGATACTATTTTTTCTTACATTTCCTGTTTTCCTTATTTTGCCTTTTTACTCCTGGACTTTTAGTTCAGTGCTGAACCATAATAGTAAACATTGCCATTTTTGTTTGAACTGCAATTACATTTAATGTCTCAACTTTGAGTATGATTTGTGCTATGAGTTTCAAGAAGATAGCTTTTAATAAGGAAGCCATTTTTTGCTACTGATGAAATGTATTTTTACTTGTATTAGATTGTGCATATTAAAATTTAGAATTATATATAGAAGGATATTTATTAAGGTAGGTACATAGGCATATTACTACAATAATTATAGTCCAACCTGTAAATTGTACACTTGATTGATTCAATTAAAAATAAGTCAGTAAATGGAATCATTCTAAGTGTCCAACGATTGATTAATGGGTAAGAAATATGGTGTATATATACACAATGGAATACCATTCAGCCATATAAAAGAATGAAATCTTGTCATTTGTGACAATATGGCTAAAACTTGAAGACATAATGTTAGATGAAATAAACTAGAGACAGAAAGACTCACTTATATGAAAAAATCTATAAATAAAAACTTAAAAATGTGCTGCACAACAAAAGCAATGGTTACGAGACTAGGAGGGGAGGGTGGAGGGAAGGATGGGAGAGGTGTGTCAAAAGGTACAAAATTACAGTCAGATAGAAGGAATAATTTCTGGTATTATATTGCACGCTAGGGTGACTACGGTTAACAGTAAAATATTGTATGTTACAAAATAGCTAGGAGAGAGGCATTTGAATATTCCAACCAACAAAAGATGATAAATGCATGAGGTAATAGATACACTAACAACCCTGATTGGATCATTATACAACATGGATATGTAAAGTAACATCACATTGTACCCCATAAATATGTGTAATTATAATGCATCAATTAAAAATAAATACAAAATAATAAATAACTTAGTAAATAAAAACATAAATGATACTTGGTTAAAAATTACATCAACCAGACTACGTATTAAAGACATATAGGCTGAGAGCAGACAAAACAATGTGACCAAGTAGAAGTCTTTGTCAATCATGCCCCTGCCAATAGGAACATCAAATTGAAAAACTATCCACACAAAAATGAACCTGCATAAGAACCAAAAATCTAATGAGTAATCACAGTACTTGTTTTTAACTTCAGATCACAGAAAGAGGCACTGAAGAGGGTAAGAAAGTCAGTCTTGTACTGCTGATACCACCTCACTCCTATACCCAGCAGCAGCTACATGGCTTGGAGAGAGAATCTGTTCACCTCGGGAAGAAAGAGCACTGTGGGACTTCGCAGTGAACTCAGTGCTGCCCTGTCATGACAGAAAGCAACACTTGGCAGAAATCAGCTAACACCCACGTAGGGAACATTTAGATCAGCCCTAGCCAGAGAGGAATTGCCCATCCCAGCAGCTGGAACTCATATTCTGACAAGCCTCGCCACCACAGGCTAAGGGGCCCTGGGGTTTCTAAATAAACTTTAAAGGCAGTCTAGGCCATAAGAAGTGCAATTATTCAGCAAGTCCCAGAGTTGCGCTGGGCTCAGATGCAGTGGACTGGCAGTGCATGCAACCTGGTGAGAAACCAGCCTGGGTGGCCAAGATAGTGCTTGTGACACCACTCTCCCAACCCCAGGGAATGCAGCTAGAAACTCTTGGAAAGTCTCCTTCCTTCCAATTGAGAAAAAGAGATTAAAAAGTCAACAGAACTGTGTCTTGCAGGTTAGGTACTAGCTCGGCCACAGTGGGAAAGAGCACCAACTGGGTTTTTGGGTTCCCCTTTTACAGGACTTGTCTCTTGGATGACATTTCTGAACTAACCCTGAGCCAGATGAGAACCCACTGTCCTGAAGGTGAATCACAGTATGGGAAGCCTTCAACTCAAGGTGACTGAAGAGCCTTTGGGTCATAAATTAATATTGGCGGTATCCTGACAATACTCACTGGGGACCTGTGGTGGTGGTGGACAAAGGAAAGACTCCTCTGCCTGTGAAAAGAGGAGGGAAGCGTGGATAGAACTTTGTCTTGTGGTTTCAGTGTCAGCTCAGGTGAAGTAGAAGAGTACCAGGTAGATTACTAAAGTTTCCAGCTCCCAACCACGGCTCCCAGACACCATCTCTGGATCTGCTTCGGGCCCAGGGTAAGGGGAAACTTTAAACTGTAAAGAGAAGATAATATGCTTTGGCTCTGTGTTTCCACTCAAATCTCATCTTAAATTGGAATCCTCACATGTTGAGGGAGGGACCTGGTGGGAGGTAATTGGATTGGGGGGCAGTTTCCCCCATGCTGTTCTCATGATAGTAAGTTCTCAGGAGACCTGATGGTTTAGAAGTGTGGCATTTCCTCTGTCTCTCACTCTCTTTCCTGCCACCATGCAAGATGTGCCTTGCTTCTCCTGTGCCTTCCACCTGACTGCAAGTTTCCTGAGGCCTCCCCAGTCATGTGGAACTGTGAGTCAATTAAACCTGTTTTGTTTATGAATTACCCCATCTTAGGTAGTTTCTTTATAGCAGTGTGAAAACAGACTAATACAAAAGGGCATCAGACTGATTGGCTTCACCATCTGCTAATTGTAGAGTTCTGGAGCCTTGAGAAAACATAGGTGGTAGCCAGGTAGTGGTTAACAAGGGCCTTGGGGGAGACCCAGTGCCGCGCTGGCTTCAGTCTTCAGGTGGGACCCAGTGCAGTCCCACTGGTAGTGGACAGAAAAGTGCCTGTGTCATACTTCCCTCAGCTCGAGGAAGCACAACACAGAGAGAGTTAGACTCTGCAGGTTTGGCAGAAAGTAAGGGAGGAGAACAGGAGTCTCTACCTGGTAATCCAGAGAATTATTTTGGATCTTATTCAAGACCACCAACGTATAATCCTTACAAGTCTGCAAGAAGAACAGTACTAACATCCTTGAGGTACCCCCTAATGCAGATATGGCTGCAGTGACCAAAAACTTACATTATAATACTCAAGTCCCTTCAAATACCTGAAAACCTTCCCAAGAAGGATGAGGACAAACCAGCTCAGACTGAAGATGACAATAAATGCTGAAATATTTAATGCTTAGACACAAATTAATATCCACAGGCATCAAGATCATTCATGAAAACATAATCCCACCAAATGAAATAAATAATGCACAAGGGATGAAACCTGGAGAGACAGAAATATGAGGATTTTCAGACAGAGGCTTCAAAACAGCCATTTTGAGGAAACTCAAAGAAATTCAAGATAATACAGAAAATGAATTTATAATTCTATCAGATAAATTTAAAAAGGAGTTTGAACAAATTACAAAGAATCAAGCAGAAGTTCTGGAGCTAACAAAGGCAACTGACATACTGAGGAATGCATCAGAATTTCTTAATATCATAATTGATCAATCAGAAGAAAGTATTAGTGAGCTTGAAAGTATGCTATTTCAAAATACACAGAGGACTTTGAAGAAAAATAATTAAAAGAGAAATGCATGACTACAAGATCTAGAAAATAACCTCAAAAGGGCAAATCTAAGAGTTACTGGCACTTAAGAAGAGACAGATAGATAGAGGTAGAAAGTTTATTCAAAGAGATAATAACAGACAAATTCCCAAACCTAGAGAAAGATATCAATAAGCAAGTAAAAGACAGTCATAGAAAACCAAGAAGATATAAACCAGGACTAACTCAAAGCATTTCATGATCAAACTCTCAAAGATAAAAGATAAAACAAGAATCCTAAAAGCAGCGTGATTAAAGAAAAAATAGCATACAATGGAGTGCCAACATATCTGGAAGCAGACTTTTCAGTAGAAACCTTATGCGCCCAGGAGAGAGTGACATGACATATTTATAGTGCAAATGGAAAAATAAAACTTTTATAGTAGAATGTTATATCCAGGGAAAATATCATACAAACACGAAGAAGAAATGAAGACTTTCCCAGACAAAGAAAAGGCCAGGGATTTCTCAACTTCAGATGTGTCATACAAGAAATGCTAGAAAGAGTTACTCAATCTGAAAGAAAAAGATATTAAGGAACAATAAGAAATCTTCTAAAAATATAAAACTCACTGGCAATAGTAAGTACAAAGAATAACACAGAATATTATAACACTGTAATTTCGATTTGTAAACTATTCATATCTAAAGTAGAAGAATAAAAAGGTGACCTAATCAAAAATGATAACAATGGCAACTTTTTAAGATGCAGATAGTAAAATAAGATGTAAATAGAAATAACAAAAAGTTAAAAAGCAGGAAGACAAGTTAAACTGTACAGTTTTTATTAGTTTTCTTTTGCTTCTTGTTTAGTTTTTTTGTTTGTTTATGCAATCAGTGGTAAGTTTTCATCTGTATTAAATAATAGGTTATAATATATGTAAGCCTCATGGTAAAGTCAAATCTAAAAGCATACAATGAATGCACAAAAAATAAAAAGCAAAATTTAAAATATTCCACCGTATTAGTGAAATTTAAATTATTTCACTAAAAGGAAGACAGGAAGAAAAGAAATAAGGAACAGTTGATCACAAAACAACCAGAAAACAGATAACGACATGGCAGGAGTAACTATTGACTTAGCTATAATACCATTAAATATAAGAAACTAAGCTCTCCAATCAAAGGACGTAGAGTGGCTGAATGAATAGAAATACAAGACCCAACCATTTGTTGCCTACACAAAATATACTACACCTATAAAGACATGCATAGACTGAAAATATAGTGATGGAAAGATATTCCATGCAAATGGAAACCATAAAAGCAGCAGACATAATACTTAGATCAGAGAAAGTAAATGTTGAAATAAAAACGATTCTTATTCTTACAGAGAAAGAGAGAGACAGATTCTGATACAATAATAGCTGGAGAATTCAACACCTCACATTCAGCATTGGACAAATCATCCAGAGAGAAAATCAACAAAGAAACTTCTAACTTAATCTCCACCATAGACCAAATGGGCCTAGTAGATATTTCCAGAAAATTTAATCCAATAGGTTCAGAATACGCATTCTTCTTCCCAGCACATGGATCATTCTCAAGAACAGATCATATTTTAGGCCAAAAGTAAGTCTTTAAAAATTAAAAAAAATGAAATCATATCAAGAATCTTCTCTTACCACATGGAATAAAACTAGAAATCAATAACAATCAATTTGCTCCTGAATGACCAGTGGGTCAATGAGGAAATTAGGAAGGAAATTTTAAAATATCTTGAAACAAAGATAATGGAAATATGCCAAAACCTATTAAATATAGTGAGAGTAGTACAAAGAAGAGAGTTATAGCTATAAGCACCTACATCAAAAAAGTAAAAACACTTCAAATAAATAACCTAATAATTCATCTTAAGGAAGTAGAATAGAAAGACCAAATCAATCTCAAGAACTGTAGTAGAAAATAAAAAATGATAAAGATCAGAGCAGAAATAAATGAAAACATGACAAAATATCAATAAAATGAAAAGTTTTTTTTGAAAATATAAATTAAATTGATAAACTTTTAGCCCAAATAAGGAATAAAAAGAAAAAACCCAAATTAATAAAATTGGAAACAAAAAAGGTTACATTACAACTGATGCCACAGAAATTTAAAGGCTCAATACAGACTACTATTAGCAATTACATGCCAATAAGTTGGAAAACCTAGAAAAAATTGATAAATTCCTAGAAACATGCAACCTACGAAAACTGATTCAGAAAGAAATCCAAAACCTGAAAAGATCAACAGCAACTAACAAGAGAGAAGCCATAGTAAAAATTGTCCCATAAAGCAAAGGCTGAGATCCATGGCTTCACTGCTAAATTGTACCAAGCATGTTAAAAACTACCAGTCCCACTCAGCGAAAATAAGGCGGTGAGGGAACGCTTCCAAAGTCACATTATCAGGCTGATATTTCCCTGACACCAAACCCAGATAAAAATAAATTTATAAAGTAAACTACAGGTCTATATTCCTTATGAACATCGGTCCAAATATCCTCAAGAAATTATTAGCAAACCAAATTTAACACATTAAAAAGATTATTCAGTATGACCCAGTGGGATTCATCGCAGGCATGCAAGATGATTCAACACACACAAATCAATCATTTAAACAGAATGAAGGACAAAAACCGTGTAATAATTTCAATCGATACTAAAAAACATTGGATAAAATTCAACATCCCTTCATGGTAAAAACAGTCAAAACAACTGAGTATAGAAGGAATATATGTCAATACAAAAAAAGTCATATATTACAGACCTGTAGCTAGTATTATACAAAACAAAGAAAAACTGAAAGCGTTACCCCTAAGATCTAGAGCAGGACAATGATGCCCACTTTCACCACTGTTATTCAACATAATACTGGTAATCCTGGCTAGAGCAATCAGACAAGAGATAGAAGTAAAGTGCATCCAAACTGAAAAGGAAGAAGTCAAATTATATGTGTGTTTGCAGATATAGTCTTGTATTTGAAAAAACCTAAAGAATCCAGAAGAAAACTATTGGAACAAATAAATAAACTCAGTAAATTTGCAGGATAAAAAAATCAACATACAAAAATTAGCATTGTTATATGCTAACAGTGAACAATCTGTGAAAGAAATAAAGGAATCCTATTTTCAATAGCTGTGAATAAATAAAATAATTAGGAATTAACCAAAAATGTAAAGGATCTCTATAATAAAAACTATGAAGCATTCATGAAAGGAATTGGACACCAAAAAAATTTAAAAAATATATTCCATGTTCATTGATTGGAAGAATAAATATTGTTAAAATGTCCATAGTACCCCAAACAATCTACAGATTTAATGCAATCCCTATCAAAATACCAATGACAGTCTTCACAGAAATAGAAAAAAAAAAATCCTAAAATTTATATGGACCCACACAGGACCCAGAATAGTAAAAGCTATTCCAAGCATAAAGAACAAAACTGGAGGGATCATATTACCTTACTTCACTTTGTACTACAAAGCTATAGACAAAAACAGCATGTTACTGGCATAAAATCAGACATACAGACCAATGTAACAGAATAGAATTTTGAAATAATTCCATACATCTGCTGTGAACTCCTTTTCAGCAAAGTTTTCGAGAACATACACTGGGGAAAAGATAGTCTCTTCAGTAAATGTTGCTGGGAACACTGGATATCCATGTGCAGAATAAAACTTGACCCTATCTCTTGACATATACAAAAGTCAAATCAAAATGGATTAAAGACTTAAATCTAAGACCTGAAACTATGAAACTACTAAAAGAAAACTTGTGGGAAGATCTTCAGGACATTGAACTGGGCAAACACCGACCTATGCTTACCAGAGGCTGGAAAGAATATTGTGGGGAAGAGTGGAATGAATAAGACATAGTATTTGATAGTACAACAGGATGATTCTAATCAACAATAATTTATTGTACATTTAAAATATCTTTAAAAGTCCAGGTGTGGTGACTCATGCCTGTAATCCCAGAACATTGGGAGTCCAAGGCAGGAGAATTGCTTATAGTCAGGAGTTTGAGATCAGCCTGGGCAACATGACGAGACCCTGTCTCTACAATTTTTTTTTTAATTAGCCAAGTATGGTGGCACATGTCTGTGGTCCCAGGAGGCTGAGGTGGGGGTATAACTTGAGTCCAGGTTAAGGCTGAAGTAAGGCTAGTTTGTGTCACTCCAGCCTGAGTGACAGAGCGAAACCCTGTATCAAAAAAAAAATTGAAATAAATAAAATAAAATAACTAAACAAATATAACTGGATTGTTTGTAACACAAAGAAAGGATATATTCTCTAGGTGATGAATCCTTCACTTATCCTGATATGATTATTATGCATTGTATGCCTGTATCAAAATATATCATCTATCCCACAAATTTATACAACTACTATGTATCCACAAAATTAAAAATTGAAATTAAACAGATAGGCTAAGCAAACAAATATGTGAAAGCCTATTCTGCTATAGTATTTTGTAATGTCCAGATAATCAATATAAATAAAGAACCATAAGGATAATCAATATAAACAAAAACCTGTATAATATACTAAGGTATATTATGCTCAATTTAAAAATAATTTTCTTCTCAAAAGGCATTATGGCTCTTCTAAGTAAGTCTCCATCCACCCCCTCTGTATCTGCTGCAGTTCTGTGGTCTCTCACAAGACAGTAACCATTATCTAAAAGTAAAACAAATTTCTTCCTCTAGAACCCAGGATATTGTGAGATTCTCTCTCATTTGCCAGAACCAGGTAATACCTTTCCTAAACTAATCACTGTGACCAAGATAATAGAATTAAATAGTTGGTTTAAGACATTCATGTTACACTCCAGAAGTGAAGCTGAAGTCAAATCTGTCCAAATTTTGTGGGTGAAAATGGGGAGTAGTAAATTTGAAAAAGGAAAATAAAGATATCGTTGGGGGAAAAGTTTGAAATGAAATCTATAGAGTGAGTGAGCATCAAGTCAATCAAGTCACTTTCTTTCTTTCTTTTTTTTTTTTTTTTTTTTTGGTTTTGAGACAGACAGTCTTTTGCCCAGGCAAAAGTGGTGCAATCTCGGCTCAGAGCTACCTGCACCTCCAGAGTTCAGGTAATTCTCCTGCCTCAGCCTCCCGAGTAGCTGGGACTACAGGTGCCCACCACCACGCCTGGCTAATTTTTGTATTTTCAGTAGAGACAGGGTTTCACCATATCAGCCAGGCTGGTCTCGAACTCCTGACCTTGTGATCCGCCCGCCTCAGCCTCCCAAAGTGCTGTGATTACAGGCGTGAGCCACCGCACCTGGTGCTGCACTGCAGTGGCACTTACAAAACACTTTTTTTTCAAACTAATAATAATCATACAAGTCTCCACAACTCTCTAAGCTGCAGCTCCTCAGTTCCTTTATAATATCAATGTTTTTTCTCCATTTCTCAGCGTGATTGACCCTTCCCAACTGCTAGCTGACAAAACCTCAGAGAGGCTTTTGCTAACCATGTCATCTATATAAATGCCATTCACACTACACCACCATGGATTATTAACAGAGCCTTGTATTCTTTACTATAAATCATATTTCGGAGTTTGCATGATTAAAAATGATCTCTATGTCAATTAGGCTTAAGTAAAAAGATGAGCACATGTCTTTGTTTTCAGTCTGTTTCTCATACTAGAAAATGTGCTCCATGAGAGCAGAAGCTTAGTCAATTTTTTATTACTGGAACTGCAGGTCCCCATATAGTGTCTGTCATGCAGGGATACCCATACTGTTGTACCAACCAGTGATACAATATTGATGTCTGTAATTGAATATGGGAAAGAAAAGTGTAGAATTCAGGCATATCTATACCCTGGTCAAAGAAAAATTATCAAAATATATAGTTTCTGAACACTGAAGTCAAAAAGAAAGGCAAGATTCACAATTGTAAAACCAGGAAAAAATGCAAAATGATAATTAATCAGATAGATTTTTGTACATCAATATATTAATAATGAAATAAGCTTTATTGAATATTATCTAGCACAACCCCAATATTAAGGAGTTAAGAAAAAAATTACAAAAAGTATTACAAGACAAAGCATTGCAATTAGAATTGTCTGTCTCAGAAAAATTATATTAATATATTACACACGTTTATCATAGAAACAAGCTGTGTGCATACTAACCTATAACAATAATTAATATATAATATTCTTACATATTAATTCAATACAGTTTACATATAGTGGTAACAATTATATATGTAGAGAAAATAATATAAAACTATTTTCTATTACATAATTTGCTGATTTGTTAGTTTTTTAAATAAAACATTTCATTATTTAGATATGTGTGTGTCCCTTTGTGCATGTGTGTGTGTGTGTAAGTGTGTTTCTGGATCGTTAAATTCAATAATTCTATTTGGGCATGATCCCTATTACTCTATTACAGACAAATAATATTTTCCTGCTCTATTAATTAAAACTGTGCTAAACTATGATTCGTCTAACACAAATCAAATTCACCTAAAAACCTCCAAGGATATTAAACTAAGAAATCTAGTGCTTGAGGAAGAAACCAATTATTTTAATATGAGGCTGGCTCTAAGAATTTCTACCTTAAATATATATGATTTATGCATTCTCCTGAGAGTGAGAGGAGTTGCTCCTAATCTCATTGCTCTGGTTCTAAGATTTTCCATACTGTTACTCCATTCGGCATTCCATGTTTATTTCCCATTTCTTCCTCAAATTACCCTTTCATTACACCCAGGTAAGTCTGTTCACTTTTCTACACACTATGGTCATTTCTGTTCCAGTTCCTTTTCTCCAAGAATCACTATGTCCCATGATCCTTTTTCCTGTTTTTCGTTTATTACTAATTCCCGGTCTCACTAGCAATTTTTAGTATTTTTATTCTCTAAGTGCAGTCTATGAAGTTGTATTCAATTTTCACATATGGAGCAAACGTCTCCAATGAAACAGAAATGTTATAGGCACTGTGATCAATTGTGTATTTCAGAATCATTCAAAGTTACAGAAAATAATTTAATACCATAAAATCTTGCCTTCTGAAAGAATGGCTCATCAATGCTTTTTTGTAGCCCAAGGGTGCCCTTTTTACTGAATAAAAACTTCCAGTACTTATGGCAGCAAGGTCTCTAGCTCACTGATCATTCCTCTAAAGCAGAGCTACATTTCAAATTGCTGTTTTAACAGATGGTCAAGATAAAGGGAAAATGGGAATCAAAGTTTCATGTGCAGCAAATCGTTTTTCTACTACTTTACTTGCTAAACTTGCCTTCCTAAGATTGTAGGCCTCCAGGGCAAGAACTTGTCCTCTTTATGACTTTTGTGTGGCTACAACAAATGATAAATAATAAGTTTCACACATTACAGCAGTATAGCAAATTTCTAAACATGGGCTAAAGTTTTTTGATCTATAGACTTGATTTTATCCAGAATATACTCCCTATTAATTTTTTGTACACTATTATGTAAAAACGTTTGTGAGAAAATAAGGTAAATTTTCTTTTACAAGGCCCTGATTTGATGACTTATTAGTCTGAAACAACAGCATGGGAAAACAAAACAACTTCCTTTTTACAATTCCACTGGAATAATTTATCATAAAGGAAAATGCATTAATGCTAAATTAAAAACATCTTCTTATTGATTCTTCATTTAAGTGTATTAAAACATTATTGTATAATACATTGTATAAGCCATCTCAATTTCCTACCTTCAATAATCCAAATTTTCCCCAATATATAAACTTATAATGTGCATGGCATAATTGTAGAGACCTTCAGCATTTCGCCATAAATTAATTTAGAAAGTGGTGGTTGGGAATATAACAAGCATAGTTTAAGAAATTGCTTTATTTTCAAGTTTTATTTTATTATATATTCTTAACTATGGGCTCATTATACATCTTCTACTATAAGTGATTCTAATTGATAGGATGGATAAAAAGAGTACTTCAAGATCAAAGTCATGTGACTATCAGTTACTTAAAGAACATATATTTCTGGCATGGGACAGGTTGATGACAATGTGTAATAATGATTGTAAGTACATTAAGAAGATAAAGGGAAGGGTAAATTGTAATATATCCAAATTCTGTGCTCTCTCTACAGCCTCTAAGCTGTACTTGGCATAAATAGATAAAACATGCATATCTCCAAGCCAAAATAGTCTACAAAAATACATTTAATATTTTATTCATTGCATTATCATCATCTAGTTTCCATTTTATGATTTGTTCTCCTACAAACACTATCTGTCTAACTATTTACTCACCTATTTATCATCTAATTATCTCTCTATGAGGCTAAATATTATGCCAGGGAGAGCAATCTGTGCTGAAATAAATTAGGCAGGCCAGGAATGTTGTCCAGCATCACTAAAATTCTCAGCACTGTTAACACGGATGGCTCACAATGAGCTCACAGGGAAGATTTTCATGACATGAATAGACTGCTCAAGAAGTTCAGCATCTGAGCCATGTATTTTTGTGTCATTCACCAGTAATGTAGAAAGAAGCTTGTTTAGTAAATGGGCTTTACAATTAGATATCTTTCACCATGCATGGATATTTATTATTCAATTTTTTATCTGCATTCAGAAATCTTTTTTGCAGTAACCTATTTACTTTACACCACCTCTCAATACATGTATGATCTATCCTATTTAGTATTATTTTCCCTGCTATTTTCATTCATTTTAACTTGTTTTTGAAATGTTTTGCTTAAAAAAAACAAATAAATCAATACCAGTAAACTGAGTAAGAGTAATCTGGTAAAATGTGTTTCTGTGTTTATTTCCAAATATCATAAGGCTGTTAAAAGGTCTCAGTCTAGGAGAGCTATAGCTGCAGATTATACTATACACTCTGAATCAAAGTATGTTAGTAAAACATATTGCAAACAAACAAATCAACAATCATATTCTACTATACTGTTGTAATTTGAATATATTCTGCAACATAGATTTATTCTTCTCTAGCTTCTTGATTTTTAGTTTATTTTATGTCCTAGTGAAGCATTTTTACCCACATCAGCAGACAAATTTTGTGTCCAAAGGAAACCAAGTAAAAAACCTTGTGCTGAATACCACAACGCAAGTTTTGCAAAGATTAAGTTGCCTTCAAAGAAATGCTTGGGGAAACAAACAATACATATTAACACACAATGAGGTAATGGTGAAATTCTTTTAAAAATATTTTAAATTAAAAATCACAATTGTATACATTTATGGGGTACATTGTGATGTTTTAGTATATGCGTGTAATGTACAATGATGATAGAATTCTTTCATATTATTGTTACCAGTAGCAAATCCATGCAGGTCTGTAGCAAACCTGATTTTTGCCTCCTTGGAGGAAAGAATTCGCTGAGGGCAGGGCAGGAGTAGGCTTACCTCAGCGGGAGAGACTGAGACAAGTTTTAGAGCCTGAGTGACAGTTTATTAAAAAGTTTTAGAGCCGAGTAAAAGAAAGCAAAACACACTTGGAAGAGGGCCAAGTGGGCTACTTGAGAGATTCAAGTGCACCATTCAGCCCTGGACTTGGGGTTTTATACATTGGCATGGTTCTAGGGTTTGTGTTTCTCCTCCTTTGATTTTTCCCTTAGGGCAGGCTGTCCACACGTCCAGTGGCCTGCCAGCACTTGGGAGGGGCCATATGTGCAGTGTGTTTACTGAAGTTGTGTGAATGCTTACAGGAGGTGTTTTTTGCTCACCAGTCAAGTGTTCCCAGATGAAGGTCATACACTGGTTAAATTACACCATTTCAGCTCTTAGTGTGCATGCTTGAGCCCTCTAACACAACTCCTGAGATCTGCTTACCTACATACTCTAACATTATTAAGGGCCATATAATCAGAAATGCAGTTGGAGGTGCATGTTCCTCATTTGTAGGAATGGTTGCTTAAATAACATATGGGCAGAAAAATGTTGTGACTTCAAGGGATTTGAACACAAAAGAAGAGTAATTTCTAAGGTAAAAACCTGGGATGAAAATTCTGAATAAAATTGATTCTGTTAACATTCCCATTTCTGGGAATGCATAATCAGATTGCTACTAAATTTATTTAATGCCGATAACAAAGATTGATTATCATAAACTTCACAAAGGCTAATTTCATACTTATTATTAAAATAATCAGTGAAAACCAGAACTATATGTAGTAGTCTATAGGTATCCAAAGTAAATATATATATATTTTTATTGGTGCCCTCTGAATAAGTTGAAACTTCAAAAGTGAAAAATCAACTTCATGTGCAATGATTTTGACAGTTTAAACTATGTGTAAACTATATAATTGAATTATAATTCTAAAAATTAGTGTGATACTAACAATATTATAGTAATTTTATAATACTGAAGTTGTGTTTATGCTCACTTGAGACCTTTTTCCCTTATCAGTCAAGTGTTCCCAGAGGAAGGTCATATACTGGTTAAGCTCCACCATTTTGGCTCTTAGTATGGATGCTTAAGCCCATTTACCCAACTCCTGAGATCTTATTGGGAAGCTGCTGATTACCAGCTCTATGTGTTTTCTGTAGAAAAGTAAGCATGTACACAACTTCAGTATTATTATAAAATTAGTAAAATATTATTCGTATTATACTAATTTTTAACTTCAATATTAATCACACTAACATAATTCTAAGAATTAGTATAATACAGTACATTCGAATGATCACAAGCTGATTGTTTTTTAAATGAGTTGCAGCTATGTTGCTTTACAGCCTGGTTTGTTGACCTGAATGCTATTCAAGTCCTACTTTATATTTCATTGATAATCAACTTTTGAGATGATTCAAAGACTGACTGAAAGCTTATTTCTATTTTGTGAGACTCTATATTGATGCAAGGACAAAATGTTTTTGAGAGAGAAAGGGAAAGATACTATAATGTTTCAAGTGAATTCATTGGTTTCTCAAGAACAAAATTGGATTGCTCAAAAAGACATTTTAAAAGGAGCAGTTAAAACCATTTTCTTGATTTGCAGTTAAAAGATGGGAGAAAATTGGTGAAAGTTTTTCTGTAGATCAGCTTGATTATTCTCTTGTAGAAAAACCTCTTAATGGAAATTACTCTCACATTTTGCTTACAGCTGTAATTACTAGGTAAGTAAGACTCTTCCAAATTTTCTACTCAGAAATGTGGCCTTGTTCTGAATAGCAAATTTCCCTACATTAAACTGATCACTAAATCCTATAAAATCTGCCTTCAATGTAGGTATGGCATGCTACTGCACCTCAGCATCTCCATGCCACAACAGCAGAAAACGTGTGCCTACTCGACATGACTAACAAAATACCCTCCCGTGCCCCGACAGGACCACAGATCCTCTCTTATTTTCTTACAATCTGTTCCTCACATAACGACCTCGTTATATTCAAATAAGAATCTAAGTTTAATGGAGTCAATTCTCACGTTTTAACTATTAGTGTCATTACATTGCTTCAGGCTTTCTATTATCCCAGCTTTTTTTTCTATCATTTACCCCCTTTTATTGTATATTCACACAGACTGCCTTTCGGTGGCTTTAATGCAACTTTAGCCATCAGAATCATTTTAGCTATCAAAATCCTTCTTCTTAATGGAATAATTGCTCCTCTCCCAACCACTCATTCATTCCTTAACTAACTTCTACTCATATTTTATGTCTATATTGAAAAGGCATTTCTCTATGACTCTGTTTTAAAACTTCACAATATTATATATTTCATCTTAGCACTCAACACCATATTAAAGGATAAATTACTTATGTAATTAATTTTAGTTAAGAGATCTTACCTTGTTGGACTCTTACATTCTCTTTCTCTCTACCCAAATCCCAACATATGTTTTTGTATATGTATAAATTACTATATCCTCAGCACATCAAAAAATATGAGGCATATGGTTGCATAGTTGATAATAAATGTTTGTTGAGTGTGTGAATTGAAGCTAAAGAATGCTGCAGAAAGAAAAGAAAGGAACATTAATAATTTACGTACTTGTAGAGATTAACAGATATATACATTACAGACGAAGAACATTTATTGTAGTAGAAGTTTCTTAAGATAATAATTTCACAATGTAGAGACATAGCATGGAAAGCTTTGCTAAGTTTCTATAGTTTTATTGAAAATTAGCCATAACATTAATGATGATATTAACTGCAGTGTATTCAGTACTAGAATGAACCATGCAATGTATTCATTCCTCTATATAAAGTCTTTGATTCAGTTTGTTCAAATATTTCTGAAAATGGAAAGTTTCTACACTTCTAGAAAAAAGATTGACTGCCTTATAACCATGATACAAGTAGCAATCCAGACCAGTTTTAACCTATTTATTCAAAAAGTAAAAACTGTTCTCATTGAGCATGCTTTTGCACACCAACCAGTTACAGCACCTTGTTTATCAAAATTAGCTAATCACAGTCTCACTCCAACAGATACCCCTCTAAGTGCTAACCAATCAACAACAGTCTTATCTAAATAATGTACTTCTACAGATGATGCTATCCCACTTATTCTTTTGAAAGCCCACAAATCCCTGAACTCTCTATATTTTTTTAAATCTGTATAAGATGGCAGTCTCTTCTCCTCAGAGAGACTCTACCTAAATAGGATAGCTCCCCTTAATATAATGAGCAATAAATGTAGCATTCTGTTTTTATTTCAGATAGATAGAGATCCTTTGACCATCCTGTCATTTATTTTTATGTTCATTTTACACAGTAAAAAAATGAGGATCAGAAAATATAAGTGACTTAATAGCAGTTGCAGTGATAATATTAGATCAATATTAGAATATTAGAATATTGACTATACTCACTCCAATTATTATTATTTAATCATTATAAAATATTAATATAGGTATGTCCTTAATAAATGCACTTTATCTAGAATACTTAAAGCAGGGTGTCTACCCACCAAATAGTTTAAGAGCATGTAAAACAATAACATAAAGCAAGAGACATGCACTGAAGGAAATGCCAAGGAAACATGAAAAATAAAAAAATAAAATAAGACATCGAAATTAGAAGTGAGTATATCTGTCATAAAAATAAATATATGAGATTTAAACCGGTTTTTCTTAAATAACATTTGTAACCACAGAATATTCATTATTCTGAATATAGATTTATATTAACTTGCATTAAAATAAAATGGAAAAATAGGTAAAGCCAAAGGACAGAATGAAATAATAGATTCAAGCTAATATTAGTTTGAGATCATTAGATAATTTGTGTTGATACAACATAAAATCTCAATAAAGATGCTTGAAAGTGCATTCAAAACATCACACTGAAGGAAAATCTTTAAAATTTCAGTAGAAAACTCAAGATATGCATTTTGAACAAATTTTTACAGACTAATATGTGCAAAAATTGTAACTAACTGATAATTTGACATAATATATAAATTGTAAAAAGGGAAATGTCTAGATAATTTTTAATAAAAGTAATATTATAATTGAGATTTTTATTGAACTTTTTGTTTGAACACGTTTATCTCTACTAATTCCACAATTCCAGTAAATAAAAGTGAGTGTATTTTTTAAAATAAATGCACAAAAATATAAAACTATGGAGCAGATTTGGCCGCAAATGAGAAATCTCAACCAGTTTATATAAAGGGAAGTAGATACACAATTAATAAATGACAAGAGGTTTAAATATATCTCTTTGTCTAACAAGTGTCTAAACAGGTGGTCAGGAGTTAGTAAAGAATAGTGCAAGAATCTTGTAGATTTCTTTCACAGAGTTCCCTAAAAATGCCTGGTGATTCAGAGGCAGCACAGCTATCTGAAGGTATGTGCTCAAGAGAGAGATGCTTAGAAGAGGACTGTTTGAAACTGTACAAAGCGAATTGATAAACTTCATCACTAGCTAGCTAAGGAGCTGCCCTCTTACACTCCTGCAGAAAAAAAGTTTATTCCCAAAAGGAAAGTTGAATAAGAAAGCCTCTGTCCTGGGGTCCACTAAACTCTGCTGCTGCTGATGTGACTTACTTCATGAAACTCTGTTTTTACACCCGGATATGGCTAACCACAGCAAGCAAACCAAAATTTAGAGTGCCTCTCGGGAAAACTGACCAGTCCAAGAGAAAAAGCCTACGGATACAGGTTTTGGGGTGGATGGAGATGCATTACCTTACATGAAGCAACCTGGTCTCATTTCAATGCGCCTAGTGAGTTTAAAGACTAATCAGTATATCAACTTTGTTTACACATTTGAGCTTCTTTTCAGCTTTTAATTCTTCATTTATAAGCATGAGAAAATATCATCAAGAATCATCAGATGTTGAAAGAACACTCAAATAAAAAAGGCAGAAACTAAAATAAGAAAGACTTACACTTAATTTGAATGGTGTATTAATATGACAACTACATTCCTGCATTTATCCAAATAATAAGAATAATTAAATGATTAGAGACCTTACAACACAGATTTATAGCACACATTTTATATAACACAGCTAGAGAAATATCATCAAATGAATTTTCTACCTTTAGGAACTCTATTAAATTTCATTGCATAGATTATAGTCATTAAGACCTATTAAACTAAAGTCTCAAGAAAATATTTTTCTATTTTGACAAGTCCATGTTATTTATTATTGAATGATGTGTGAGGATGTTTATGTCAGCTTGGCTTGCAATATGCGTTATTCTCATTTGCAATCAATAACTTGACTGGCAGGCAACACCCAGAGAGAGAGATTGAGGATATTTAACTGCTTGCTTTGCCATGCCACATCATTTAACTTATCTTTCAAACCTCCCTAACATGACACAGAACAGAAAATACCATAGAACAGTATTTCATAATTAGATTCTTTTTACTTTTGATATTTCTGTTTTTATGGGAGGCAGTATATCTTGTTATAATATGTCATCCTTATGTCTTGGACGTATTTAAGATTTGTTTTCTTTTCTGCTTTCAAAGAAGGAGAGAAGGCAAGGAACATCTTCAACATAATTAAGAATCTGCAGACTCAAAAAGTCTTCCTGTAATTGCCAAGTGACAAGTCATAATATTTATTACTTTAGACATTCATCAGAACAATAATACTGTTAGAAGAAAACTTTTTACATATCTTACACATTATTTTAATGCAATAGGTATCACTTTGTTTTGTTTTATCCACCCTTAACCCTGAACTCAATGCTGATAATTTTATTTATTGAAAGTCAGTTTAGAATGTTTCCCCTCAGGAATTTGAACTTAAAAAAAGAATCTAGATGTCCAAAATCTCCTGTTTTAATATAACTTAGGGTTCATCACAGTTAACGAATATTTGGATTTCCATTAGAGGAATATGTCATAAATCAAACTACTCTAAATTATTATCTTAGTTAAATGAATGCAACCATGGGAAAATTGTAATACATTATTATGGAAATTTGAAGAAATTCAGAAACAGAGAATCATGCCTCAAACTAGTAAACACAAAGGTACAAATAAAAATGCAATCTGAATTAGTAGTATCTTAGCATTTCCATCACTACAACCTTAATTTAAATTATCATCCTTGTTTATCTAAATGACAGTAACATCCTCCCTGTTTCCTGTTTCAGTTTATCTACAGACCACCTTTCATCAGTAGCCAGTTTTTTAATATGTACATCAGATTATATTACTTCTTTCATGGAAACTGCCAATAGTTTTTCATTAAATGTTAAGCAATATCTTTACTTGTTACCACGGCCTGTGAGGCTATACAGGAAATGGTCTTGATTTTCACCCTCCATCTTCTCCCTATTCATAAAGTACATCCACTTTGGCCTTTTTTCTGGCTTTGTTTCACAGCATTTGTACTGGGTCTTCTTTCTGCATGGCTTTTTTCCTGTGATCTTAACATGATTGCTTCAGTTTCTTAGTTTGGGTCTGAATGCATATGTTCATGCAATTAAGCAGTACAGTGGATAATAAACAATGTTGCAACAAAACAGCAGCATTGTTTACTGCCACCATCAGCCAGTAGCTCAAGGAGAGTCACCTCTGCCTCACTTCTGCTCATCAAATTTCATGTGAGTGAAATAAACTGACAGTACCTAAATCACATCCAGAATCCTAGTAGCAAAGGGTTGAGAGGTCACTTTAGCTTTACAACTTCTCTTACTAAAAACAGAAGGAAAAAGTTTTGTGCAAGCCAATCTAAGTCACAGATATAGATACATTGATAGACCCATAGATATCATAGAGTACTATAGTAAAAACAATGATGCTTGGCTAAACATAGGGCTCTCAGATTAAGATCAGGTCTGTGGGTATTCTAGAAATATGCTCAGGACAATTCCTCCTTATTAGTTCGAAAAGAAGGCAACTGATTGATTTTATGCACAATAACTGCACTTTTGCTTGTATTTTCAGGTGTATTCAAGGAGGACAAAACCCAGCCTTTTGATACCAGACAAATATTATTCAGTTTATTGGGATGCGTTTCCTATCATTTTACTATCTAAAAGTTTCTAAACATGCTTGGGGATATTCTTGATTCTGTTCTCCTGTCAAGTTTGTAGCTTACTCGTAAAACCCCTACTCAAAGCCCTCTATATTTATGTCATTTTTTTAGAAATGCTTCAAGGATATAGAACATTTAATTATTTTCCCATTACAAATATTTACTAAGTGTCCACCTTGACTCAGACACTGTACCAGACCCTGGGCACAGTCTGTCAGTAGAAGTGAAAAGTGAACTAGCAACTGCATTTTGTGTAGTTAATTCCACTTTATATATTTGCAAAAGCAAAGAAATGAAAAATCCACATTGAATGGGAATTAGAGAGATTTGGTCAGGTAAAGGAGATATTTAACTTAGCTGCAAGTCCCTGAAGCTTACCAAGGAAGATCAAATATGAGGTGGAATCATTATATATTTAGTTTCTACTCCAGTTATTAATACATGTTTTTTATGTAATTGAATTGGAATGCACTTGTGTATGGATGTATAGGGAAGATTATGTTTATATGGGCTCACAGAAAGACAATAACTGTTAAGTGTCTCTAAGTCAATGTTCGTAAGTGGTCTTGGGAAGGATAAGATCCACAGTAGTTCTTCTTGACTCTAAAGTTGTCTATTTAAAGTTATACAAAGGTATACTCCCCAACTGGGTATTTCTAATTGGTTTCTCAGTCTCTCCTATTACCTGTGTAACCAGTTCTTACTTTAAATTCCCTCTGTTCTAAATACCCAAAATGGTTTATGTTTTAATAGTTGGATCTTGGCTGGTGTGGGCTACAAAGCATTTCTACAAACTTTCTGCTTATGTATGCTGCCACAGTTAAGTGATTTATCTCAGAAAATGCAGCGGAACACAATGCATAACCCTACTTACTATTAGATGCAAAGTGTGAAAGCTTTGACACAGAACCTCCTTCCATACTTCAAAACATCTGTGTGTTTATTGACTCCATCTGTGAAGAATGCACTGCAAGTCTGCCTCTATGTGATCAGATGTGGACAATCATTGTGCAACCTGGACATTGGCTGATAAAACAAATCTACAAATGTTTCAACATGACAGATAACAACATGCCATGTCGGGTCATCAGGACCCTGATTTATTGCTTAGAAAATGAGAAAACTACTTGAAAAGCCTATAGAGGCTCCACTGCAGGCCTGGCAGAGCAGAAAGATAACATAATAAAATTCTTAGTCCTGCCACAGTTTTATCAAGAGGGTATACAACATTGATTAGCTTGACACTGATTATATGTACACACTTCATGAATACTGTGCCTAAATCCTACTGGCATCATGGCATTCACTTATGAATACAGATATATTTTGTACAGACTACTTTTATGCTACCTTATCATAAAGAACTGGGTTTTATATTTAACAGTATAGCCACATCAAACGTTGACCTCTTGACCAGATTCCTTGCCTGATCCTGGAACCCTGGACTACTGAAGATAACTGGTGCCCATACAGGCATTTAGTTGAATTCAAATTGTATCTTTTCATCCTTGCCTTTCTTAAAGCAAATATTTAATGCATCTTCCTCATGAGCTTTAGTTTCACAGCAGATCTTATCTCTCTGTACTTGGTAGGCTGGCTCTATTACCACCTTTTCACTTGCCATTATTTTTCCTAGTATCTATCCCACTGTAAACACGGTTGTAAAATAATTAACTCTACAGTACAATGTTGTAATAACAGTACACATTAATTTGAATTGAAAAAAGCACACAGGAAGTTTATTATTTACGTTAAAAATGGACTTTTATTAAATTTCCACTAATGTGACACTTCTCTATTTGTGTTTACTTTTAAACACAATGCCCTTATCAACAGAGACTATAGCAATTTGCAGCACATCACTTAAATAAACAAAGCATTTTATCCTGGAAATTTTTATTTCCTAATGCTGTTTTTTTTCTTCAGGCAGACTTGTGATTTTTTTGTTTGATAATTTTCTCTTCTGAATATGAAGCCTTATTGCTTGGCAAAATGTATTCTTCTCAACTGCAGTTGTACAACCTAGTCAGCACACCTGTGTCTCACCATGGCAATGTCCTGAATAACATCGGAGTCTGCCTTTCTCCAGTTGTGGAGAGCTAGTAGTGTCCCATCCCTCACTCATTCCTAGCTACTTGTCCCTGGTCATGAGCTATTTCACTGGATTCTGCAGAGGAAAACAGGGCTCTGGTTTAGGACAAAATAGTATCTAATGTACTGCACAATCACTGAGGTTTTTCTATATTCTATCTTTCCTCATCCAGTTTTCTAAAGCATTTCTATATTTATTCACTCTTTCAAATATATAAAAAGATGGATGATAAACCCATATAAATATGTGCATGAGACTAAATAGGAACCATACAAATTAAGAAATTAAGAAAACAAAATAATGAAATCAACACAAAATAAAAATGGTAATACATATTACCTTTCAAATTGATAAATATTAAATAGTAATTATAATGGAAAGTCATAACAATGATACAGTAATAAACAATTTTTACTAGGCTTGTAAGTTTAAAATATTTATGAAATCCTTTAAAAAATCTGCATAAAATATTTTTAAATGGCCAAATCCTTGTATTCACTTAAATCTTATTAAAATATTTTAAAAAACATCCAACAATATATGGTCAAATATTTTTACAATATTAAAACTATAAACCACATGACTATTCAAATTAAAGAAATGCCTAATTAACTAGGGCAGAGCTACTTGAAGTATGGTGCTCAGATATTTGGCATCAGAGTAACCAGGAAAGTTTTATAATTGAAAATTCTTGGTCTTTACTACAGAACCACTGAATCAGAATTTAGAGGAGGGGTAAGGAATCTTTGTTTTAAGAAGCTTTCCTGAAGAATCTGAGGCATGCAAAGTTTGAAAAATATTATGCTAAAATACCTTTTAAAAATCACTTATCAAAAATTCTGTAGTAAATTAATATGTATTAAAATGTAAAAGGTTTTCTAGGCTTTACCTAATACCAAAGGGAACGGTTGTGTTTTTGTAAAAAGACATAAATATGCACAGAAAATATTATTGGAAAAGACAGATACTTAAATGAATAAGTCACAACTATTGTATTAAAAAATTGCAAAGTACAAACCACAGAATAAGAGAAAATATTTGAAAACTACCCATCAGACAATAAATTAATAACCACAGTATATAAAGAGCTCAAACAACTCTACCGAAAAAAAATCTAATGATCTGATCAAAAAATGGGCAAAAGATCTGAATACACATTTCTCAAAAGAAAGACATACAAATGGCAAAAAGGTTTATGAGAAGGTGTCCAACATCACTGATTGTCAGAGAAATGCAAATCAAAACTACAATGAATTATCATCTCACCTCACTTAAAATGGCTTTTATCCAAAAGACAGGCAATAACAAATGCTGGCAAGGATGCAGAGTGAAAGGAATCCCTCATGCACGAATGGTGGGAATGTAAATTATTACAACCACTATGAAGAATACTTTGAAGATTCCTCAAAAAACTAGAAATAGAGCTACCATATGATCCAGTAATCCTATTGCTAAGTACACTCCCCAAAGAAAAGAAATCAGTATATCAAAGAGATATCTGAACTCCTGTGTTTGTTGCATGTGAAGCTCTGTTCACAATAGCCAAGATTTGGAGCAACTAAGTGTCCATCAACTGATGAATGAATAAAGAAAAGGTGGTACATATACACAATGGAGTAGTATTCTGCCATGAAAAAAAAATGATACCCAGTCATTTGCAACAACATGGATGAAACTGGAGATCATTATGTTAAGTGAAATAAGCCAGGCACAGAAAGACAAACATCGCATGTTCTCACTTATTTATGGTATTTAAAAATCAAAACTATTGAACCCACGGAGACAAAGAGTAGAAAAATGGTTACTAGAGACTGGGAAGGATAGCAGTAAGGTGTGGGGGAGATAGAGATGGTTAATGAGTAAAAAAAATCGTTAAAGAATAAACCCTATTGTTTGTTAGCACAACAGGGTTACTATAGTCAATAGTAACTTAATTTTACACATTAAGAAATTAAAAGAGTATAATTGGATTGTTTGTAACACAAAGCATAAATTATTGAGGAGATGGATACTCCATTCTTCGTGATATAATTATTACACATTGCATGCCTCTATCAAAATATCTAAAGTACCCCATAAATATATGCACTTACTATATACCCACAAATTGTTTGCAAAAACAAAAACCCAAAAATTGTTTACAAAGAAGTATTCTGTTAAGTAGAGTTAATGTAGAATAACAAAAAATTAAAGAATATGATAAAATTTACTTGCACATGTGTGTGAACATTCTCTGGCTCACAAGGAAAGGATTCCTTTTTTCTACCATATTAGACTCCAATAAAATATGATTGATCCAGACTGAAAGTCTACACCATTCCATCTGAAAACTCACTTTAAAAATAATGCTATGGGTAAAAGATGAGAACACTAAGAACACGATTTATAAAAGAATTGAAGATTCTTATAATTAATTAAATTTCTATTGAATATACCACATTACAGATTAAAACTAGACATCCCACCAAAAAATGAGTCCAATGAAAGGCTATGACTAGGGATTGTCTCTGTTCTATGTAGAGTGCTATGAGGTAACAGAAAAGCTAGTTTTTCTGGCTTTAAGAATCAGACAGAATTTGGAGAAAGCAAAGGTATAAAAACGTAAAGAGGTCAACCAAAAAAAAAAAAAGGCACTGACTGTGGACTCCAAATCATGTGCATAAAAACTAAGCTAAATCACTGGTTGACCCCAGAATTCCATGTACAGCAAAATATCCTTCAAAAATGAAGACAAAATAAAGATGGCTGCACATGAAAGAAAACCAAGAATTTGTCATTAGCAGATGTACTTTAAAATGCATGTTAAAGAAAATTCCTCAGGTGAAGGTAAATAGTATCATATATAGAGAGAAAATCTAATCTTTCAAAAATGATAAAGATAGTTTATAATGGCAAATATCATTAACGAATTCTATCAATCATTTATGGAATGAAAGCATCAATTTTATCCCGAATCTCTAAGAAAATACAGGACCAAGGAACACTTTTCAACTTATTTTATAGAGCCAATATAAACCTAAATAGCAAAATGACAGAATTACACAGAAATATAAATAAAAGAATATTAACAATAAATATTTCTCATAAACATACACCCAATATGCTTAATAACTTATTAGTAAGTCACATCTCTATATAGTACAGATACAGGACTTTTCTGAGAAATGAAAAGTTTATTGAAGATCCAAGGTACAAAAATTATAACTTATAAATTAACACAATAAAAAAACTATACAATAATTCTCACAACCAGACAAAAAGCATTTGAAAAAATTTTTTACCCATTCATAATAAGAACTTCCAATTTGATTAAAAACCCTAAAGGTGACATCAAACTTAATGACCAAATACTGAAAGCTCTTTCCCTAAGATCAGGAGAATGATAAGGATACCTCTTTCATTCAACTTTGTATTGCAGATATAAGACCATAGCAATAAGGCAACAAAAAGAAATAGAAGACATAAATATTGAAAAAGAAGAAGTAAACATATTATAAGATGGAGATGACATTATTGTTTATGCAGAAAATCTTAAACAATGTATAAAACTATTAGAACTAACACACAAATTTTACAAAATTGAAGGCTGCAAGGCTAAATTTTTAAAAAGTAGATATATATATACACATATATATGTATATATATAAACACACATATATATACATATATACACATATATACATATATGTATACATATATACATATGCATATATATACATATGTGTATATGTATACATATATGTATACATAGAGAGAGAGAGAGAGAGAGTCATTCCTCAGTACCTCTGGGGGATTGTTTCCAGGAACATCTGCGTATACCAAAATCAGCTCAACTCAAGTTGATTTTATGGAATCTGGGAATATTGAAGAAGTCAGCCCTCCATATATGTGGATTTCATATCCCTCAAATACTGATTAGCTTTTTGTTGTGTATGTGGAGCTTCTTGATAAAAAGAACTGATTGTATTTATTACAAGAAAAATCCACTTATAAATGGATCTATATGCAGTTAGAAACTGTGTTGTCCAAGGGTCAACTGAATATATTAGTGGCGAACAATTGAAAATTAAAATCATTGCAATACCATCTGTATTAGTCCTTTCTCACACTGCCATAAATATACTACCTGAGACTGGGTAGTTTATAAACAAAAGAGCTTATATTGACTCACAGTTCCATATGGCTGGGGAGGCCTTAGGAAACTTACAATAATGGCAGAAAGTGAAGGAGAAGCAGGTACATTCTTCACAAGGTAGCAGGAGAGAGAGAGAAAACAGGGGAAACTGCCACTTTTAAAACCACCAGATCTCATGAGAACTCCCTCACTATCATGACAACAGCATGGGGGAAACTGCCCCCATGATCCAGTCACTCCCAACAGATCCCTCCCTCAACACATAAGGATTACAATTCAAGATGAGATTTGCATGGGGACACAGAGGCAAACCACATCACCATCTAACAACAAAATACGAATAAATTTAACATAGGATGTTCAGGAACTCTGTGCTGAAAAATACACAACATTGCTGAGAGAAATTGGGTAAAATCTAAATAAATGTATGTAGAGATATATCATAACCATAGATCAGGAGACTCAATACTGATAAGATGTCAATTCTCCTAAAATTGATTTGAAGATTCAAAGTATTTTCAATCAAATCCCCAGGAGGATTTCTGAATGGGAATACATTGCATGAAACAGGCATGCTGAGCCTAAATTTTACATGGAAATGCAAAGAGGGTAGAAGAGACAACAATATTAAAAAGGAAACAAAGCAGATGAATTTACTACCTAATTTCAAGACTTACCATGAGGCTACAGTCATCAAGACAATGTATTATTGACATAAGAAATGACAAATAGATCTCTGGAACAAAATAGAAAAGCTAGAAATAAACCCACACTTACACACTGATTTTTATCAGAGGCACTAAAGCAACCCACACATAAAAAGAGAGAGTGATCTTATTTTTATTTTCATGTCTCATATTTGGAAAAATATTTAGGGATACAGTAAAATAATTTCTATAATACCTTATGACAGGGAGAATTAGGACAGTTAATTTGGAGAATAATGGGTATTATTTAGTAACAAAGAATAGACCTATCATGGATGATACACAGTAAGCACATGACAGCGATTTCCTCTGAGGCTGAAGAGAGTGAAAATGCACCTGTCAGTGATGGAGGAAATTTTCCAAAGGGCCTTATTTATCTATACAGCTCTTTGTAAAGGAGAATGCATGCATATATTAGAATATTTTAAATGTTTGTATGGTAAAAATAGACTGGAAATAAATATTAAGTTGTTCATTCTACTAAAGGAAATAGGTGTGTTTGTTGACTATTGATACTTTTTCTGTATTTCTGCATTTTAAATATGATACCACAGTCAAGGCTTGCAATTGCAGCAGCCAGTCCTCAAAAAGAATACATTCTGTTGTGTTTACGACTTTTTCAGGTCCTATTTCATTTCTCAAGTCCAGGAGCTTTTCCCAAGCCTCAACTGTCAATGCTTAATTCTCAGATCTCTCACTCTATGTAAACATTCTAATCCTATTACAAAAATGGGACTTACTTTAATCCTCTTGTATCAGGCATTCAATAACCTAGACTATCCCTGCATAGGAGTTTCTCCTTGCAAAGGGCTTCCTCTAGAGACAGCAGTTACTCAAGCTCATGTATCTTCTCCTTTTCTTTTATTCTTCACAGCACTTCAAGAGTGGGGTCCTTTTATCTCTCCATTACAGTTAATGATTTATCATTCTCTGCATCAGTGCAATCCTGTGATAACTAAACTCTAGTGTGTTTTACCCAAACTAGATAGAATCCACAGTATGATCAATCTGTCTTTAGAAATTACAGTTCTCATTCATCCCCTGAATAAATCCAGAGCTTTAGATATCTGGCGGTAACTTGGCCAAACTGCTTCTTCTGGCTGCTTTTTGTAGGCATTCAGGGTAGGTCCCAGTGTGGGTGGGATCAGTTCTTATAATTGACTGAACTCTTTCTCCATCTTTATCACTTCACAAATAGGTAATTCTCAGTATTTTAGGATCAATCCTTTTCACTGCATCACGAGTTTGTTAAGATTTCCTTAACGTACATAATAAAATAAACTGTAATTTATTACATTTTTTAAAAGAATCTAATTTAAATTATATGTCATTGCTCATATTTACACACATTACAGACATAGTTAAGAAAAATGGCTCTGTCCCCTTAATCATCGTGCTCTATTACCTGCCAGTCTTTGTCTGTGCCTAATGCTGTCTTCCTCACACACTGTTCTGTGGCAGAATCATTACTTTCTATGTATTAGAGATTTGATAATGACTGCAGGGACTCCTCAGGTTCTCTAGCTGTTAATGCTTAGTGTTCACACTTCCACTCTCCTCGCTTTCAAGGTATTTTTATATGTAGAAATAATATTTTTGCTAACAACTACTGAAACCCTGTGCGGTACTGGGACATAAGTAGACTTACTATTTTTCTTACGATTTTCAAAACTACCTGCCCTCTATTATTCTGAGAATGAATTTTCCCTGTGTTACTCTCTGTTGCAGTGCTCTGATGATTTTTCTTTTTCTCTGAGTTCTGTTACGGATGGTAAAGATTATTCAAGAAATGGTTTTATTAGATTTGGAGAAGAAGAATGTTCACATTTAGAAATGTCAGAGTTGCCACTGGTGTATAAAATGTCATTGATTATATGATAATACTATTTATGTCAGAATTAAGCATAGTTTGCCTGGCTTAAGTGGCCTATAGTTTTATAGTTTAACATGATTTGTTAAGTGTAACAAATTCTTTTAAACAAACCTTACCAATGTCCTACTACTTATTGAAATTCTAAAAATCCTTTCATTTACAAGTTTAAATTATACTCCATGGACCTCTTCTTGATTCCCTTTTGGAATTAATTTGTTTTTCCTCTGTATATACATAAAATGCTGTTATTTCAATAGAAGTACTTGCTTCTGTACATATGGAATTAATAGTTTGTTATTTGCATTTTTTTAAAAAAGTACTGTCCTCTTCCAATTATGAGCCTCATTTATGACAGAAGCTTTCATCTTACCTCTCTCGTTATGCAACATATTTAAAATAATTGACAAGATATTTTTGACAATTCAGTTTTTTATAAAATATATCACTTAATTATATTTTAAATAAAATATAAATATAAAATAATTTAAATATACAACTAGATTAATTTTTTACATTAAGGTTGAGATATCAGTATTATAGAAAACCCAGTCTGTCATCTTGTCATTGTTTTTTAAAATTATATAAATGAAATCATAAAGTATGTATTCTTTTGTGGATTAATTCACTCAATATATTTTATGTGAAATGCATAGTTCTTATTGCATATATTCATTTTATTTCATTCATTGAAGTGTAGTACTTCATTGTGTGAATACTCCACTTTTTATTTCTTACAAAGAAGCTTTTTTGTGGTCCTGTTACCATTTCTGCTGACTACATCCTGGGTTACACTTTTATTACTTACTTGAGTCCATTGAGACACAACACTCACACACACGAGTTACTTCAATGAGGCTTATTACTCATAGATAAGCAGCAAGAGACTACAGAGGCCTAGGACTTATGATGAGCTAGTCCCTTAACATTCAGGGAAGCTGTCTAGGGCAGATGTAGTCTCAGCTGCTCCACTTGTACGGCAATTAAGGGATCTTAGAAAACAGTCCACCTTGGGTTTTATATTCTGAGGACAACATGGCAGACTTGACTAAAGCTTTTTTAAAAATATGTATTTTTTTATTTCAATAAGTTTTGGGGGAACAGGTGGTGTTTGGTTACATGAATAAGTTGCTTAGTGGTGATTTCTGAGATTTTGGTGCACCCATCACCTGAGCAGTGTACATTCTACCCAATGTGTAGTCTTTTATCTGTCGCCAATTCCCACCCTTTCCCCTGAGTCCCCAAAGTCCATTGTATCATTCTTATGCCTTTGTGTCTTCATAGCTTAGCTCCCACATATAAGTGATAACATACAATGTTTGGTTTTCCATTCCTGAGTTACTTGACTTAGAATAATAGTCTCCAATTCCATCCAGGTCACTGAGAATGCCATTATTTCATTCCTTTTTATGTCTGAGTAGTATTCCATGAAGATATACACACACACACACACACACACGTACATATATACATATACATATATACACATATATATTATGTACATATATACATATACATATATACACATATATACATATATACATACATATATATATCACATTTTCTTTAACCACTCACAGATTGATGGGCATTTGGACTGGTTCCACATTTTTGCAATTGCAAATTGTGCTGCTATAAACATGTGTGTGCAAGTATGTTTGTTGTATAATGACTTTTTTCTCTGGGTAGATACCCAGTAGCGGGATTGCTGGATCAAACAGTATATCTACTTTTAGTAATTTAAGGACTCTCCACACTAGTTGCTATAGTGGTTGTATTCATTTATATTCCAACCAACATTGTAAAAATGTTCCCTTTTCACCGCATCAATGCCAACATCTATTTTTTAATTTTTTTATTATAGCCATTTTTTGTAGGAGTGAGGTGGTATCACATTGTTGTTTTAATTTGCATTTTCCTGATAATTAGTGATGTTGAGCATTTTTCCACATGCTTGTTGGCCATTGGTATATCTTCTTTTGAGAACTGTCTATTCATATCCTTAGCCCACTTTTCAATGACATTTTTTTTTTCTTGCTGATTTGTTTGAGTTTTCTGTAGACTCTGGATATTAATCCTTTGTCAGATGTATAGATTATGAAGATTTTTTTCCAACTATGTGGGTTGTCTGTTAACTCTGCTAATTATTTCTTTGGCTGTGCAGAGGCTTTTTAATTTAATTAAGTCCCATCTATTTATCTTTGTTTTTGTTGCATTTGTGTTTGGGTTCTTGGTCACGAATTATTTGCCTAACTAGGAGGGTTTTCCCAAGTTATCTTCTAGAATCTTTGTGGTTTCAGGTCTTAGATTTAAGTTTTTGATCCATCTTGAGTTGATTTTTGTATAAGGAGAGAGGTGAGGACCTAATTTCATTCTTGTACATGTGGCTTGCCCATTATTTCAGCACCATTTACTGAACAGGGTGTCCTTTCCCCACTTTATTTTGTTTTGTCAAAGATCAGTTGGCTATAAGTATTTGGCTTTATTTCTAGGTTCTCTATTCTGTTTCATTGGTCTATGTGCCTATTTTTATATCAGTACCAAGCTGCTTTGGTGTCTATGGTCTTATAGTATAGTTTGAAATCAGATAACATGATGCCTCCAGATTTGTTCTTTTTGCTTAGTCTTGCTTTGGATATGTGGGCTCTTTTTTGGTTCCATATGAATTTTAGGATTGTTTTTTCTAGTTCTGTGAAGAATGATGGTGGTATTTTGATAGAAATTGCATTGAATTTGTAGAGTACTTTTGTCAGTATGGTCATTTTCACAACATTGATTCTACCCATTCATGAGCATGGGATGTGTTTCCATTTCTTTGTGTCATCTATGATTTCTTTCAGCATTGTTTTGCAGTTTTTCTTGTAGAGGTCTTTCATGTTCTTGGGGAGATATATTCCTAAGTATTTTATTCTTTTGCAGCTATTTTAAAGGGGTTGAATTCTTGATTTGATTTTCAGCTTGGTTGCTACTGATGTATAGCAGAGCTACATATTTGTGTATATTAATTATGTATCCTGAAACTTTGCTGAATCATTTACCGGTTCTAGAAGCTTTTTGGATGAGTCTTTAGGGTTTTCTAGGTATACAATAATATCATCAACAAACAGCGACACTTTGACTTCTTCTTTATCAATTTGGATGACTTTTATTTCTTTCTCTTGTCCAATTGTGTTAGGTTCATAAGACTTCCAGTACTATGTTGAATATAAGTGGAAAAAGTGAGCAAACTTCTCTTGATCCAGTTCTCCAGGGGAATGCTTTCAGCTTTTCCCCATTCAGTATAATGTTGGCTGTGGGCTTGTTGTAGATGGCTTTTATTATCTTAAGGTATGTGCCTTCTATGCCAGTTTTGCTGAGGGTTTTGATCAGAAAGTGATGCTGAATTTTGCCAAATGTTTTCTCTGCATCTATTGAGATGATCATGTAATTTTTATTTTTAATTATATTTCTGTGGTGTTTCACATTCATTGACTTATGTTAAACCATTCCTGCATCCCTGAGGCGAAATCCACTTGATCATGGTGGATTATCTTATTGACATTCTATTGGATTTGGTTCATTAGTTTTTTGTTGAAGATTGTTGCATCTATGTTTATTAGAGATATTGGTCTGTTGTTCTCTTTTTTTGTTATGTTCTTCCCTGGTTTTGGTATTAGGGTGATACTGGCTTCTTAGAATGATTTAGGGAGAACTCCCTCTTTCTATCTAGTGGAATAGTGTCAACAGGATTGGTACCAATTCTTCTTTGAATGGCTGATAGGATTCCACTGTGAATCTGTCTAGTCCTGGATTTTTTCTTGTTTTTGGCGATTTTTTAATTACCATTTCAATCTTGCTACTTGTTTTTGGTCTGTTCAGAGATTCGATATATTCTTGGTTTAGTCTAGGAGCATTGTATATTTCTAGGGATTTATCTATCTCGTCTAGGTTTTCTAGTTTATGTGTGCAAAGATATTCATAGTAGGCCTGAATAATCTTTTGTATCTCTGTGATATCAATTGTATTATTTCTCATTTTGTTTCCAAATGAGTTTATTTGAATCTTCTCTATTCTTTTCTTGGTTAATATCACTAATGGTCTATCAGTTTTATTTATCTTTTCAAAGAACCAGCTTTTTGTTTCATTTATCTTTTGTATTTTTTTTTGTTAATTTTTTCAATTTTACTTAGTTCTTTGTTATTTCTTTTCTTCTGCTGGGTTTAGGTTTGAATTGTTCTTGTTTCTCTAGTTGCATGAGGTGTGACCTTAGATTGTCTATTTTTGCTCTTTCAGACTTTGGTGTAGGCATTTAATGCTATGAACTTTCCTCTTAGCACTGCTTTTGCTGTATCCCAGAGGTTTTGATAGGTCATGTCACTATTATCATTCAATTCAAATAATTTTTTAATTTCCATCTTGATTTCATTGTTGATCCAACAATCATTCAGGAGCAGGTTATATAATTCCCATGTATTTGCATGGTTTTGAGAGTTTCTTTTGGAGTTGATTTCCAATTTTATTCCGCTGAGGTCTGAGAGAGTACTTGACATAATTTTGATTTTTCTTAAATTTACTAAGACTTCTTTTGTGGCCTATCATATAGTGTATCTTGGAGAATGTTTCATTGTTTCTTTGTTGACTTTCTGTCTTGTTGATATGTCTAGTGCTGTCAGTGAAATATTAAGTCAACCACTATTATTGTGTTGTTGTCTACCTTATTTCTTAGGTCTAGTAGTAACTGTTTATAAATTTGGGGTCTCCAGTGTTAGGTTCATATATATTTAGGATTGTAATATTTTCCCATTGGACTAGTTGTTATATTATTAAATAATGTCCCTCTTTGTCTTATTTAACTGCTGTTGCTTTAAAGTTTGTTTTGTCTGATATGAGAATAGCTACTCCTGCTCAATTTTGGTGTCCATCTGCATGGAATATCTTTTTCCATCTTTTTACCTTAGGTTTATGTGAGTCCTTAGATGTTAGGTGAGTCTCCTGAAGACAGCAGGTGAATTCTTATCTATTTCTGCCATTGTGTATCTTTTAAGTGCAGCATTTAGGCCATTTACATTCAGTGTCAGTATTGAGATGTGAGGTACTATTCTATTCATTATGCTATTTGTTGCCTGAATACCTTGGTATTTTTTTCCTTGTGTTATTGTTATATAGGTCCTGTGAGATTTATCTTTTAAAGAGGCTCTATTTTGGTGTATTTCAAGGTTTTTTGTTTTTTTTTTCTCTTCAAGATTTAGAGCTCATTCTTGTAGTGCTGGCTTGGTAGTGGTGAATAGTCTGAGCATTTGTTTGTCTGGAAAAGACTGTATCTTCCCTTCCTTTATGAAGCTTAATTTCTCTGGATACAAAATTCTTGGCCGATAATTGCTTTGGGTAAGGAGGCTAAACATATTACCCCGATACCTTGTAGCTTGCAGAGTTTCTGTTGGGTCTTTTGTTGTTCCATATAAATTTTAAAATTGTTTTGTCCTATTTCTATGAATAACATCATTGGTATTTAGATAAAGATTTTATTGAATCTGTAGATTGCTTTGGGTAGTATGGACATTTTAACAATACTGACGTTTCCAATTTGAACCCATGAACGTGGAATACGTTCCGCTATTTTATTTTATTTTATTTTATTTTATTTTATTTTATTTTATTTTATTTTATTTTATTTTGAGACAGAGTCTCACTCTGTCACACAGGCTGGAGTGCAGTGACACAATCTTGGCTCACTGCAACCTCTGCCTCCTACGTCCTATGCAATTCTCCTGCCTCAGCCTTCAGAGTAGCTGAGATTACAGGTGCGTGCCACCATGCCCTACTAATTTTGTATTTTTAGTAGAGATGGTGTTTCACCATATTGGCCAGGCAGGTCTCGAACTCCTGACCTCAGGTGATCTACCCACCTTGGCCTCCCAAAGTGCTGGCATTACAGGCGTGAGCCACATTTTTTTTTTTTTTTTGTATCCTCTTCAAATTATTTCCTCAGTGTTTTATAGTTCTCAATGCAGAGACAAATCACTTCTTTAGATAAGTTAATTCCTAGGTATTATTTTTTATTTATAGCTGCTGTAAATATGACAAGATTCTTGATTTCTTCTTTAGAATTTTGGCTGTTGGCATATAGAAATGCTACTGATTTTTGTATTTTGACTTTGCATCCTGGAACTTTACTGAATTTGTTGATCAGTTCCAATAGATTTTTTTGGTTTAGATTTTTTTGGTTGAGTCTTCAGATGTTTCCAAATATAAGATTGTATCATCTGCAAACACAGATAATTTGACTTCTTCCTTTCCAATTTGGATTTTTTTTTTTTTACTTTTTAATAATTTTATTTTTTTCTAATTTTGTTACTTTAATTTCCCATAGCATCTTGGCGATGTTGAAAACAAATACAAATACAATGATGTACTCATTTTAACATTTTATGCATGAGCATGTGTCACATGAATTTTGGGGGCAACGGTTTTGACAACAGGAACAAATCTAAGCAGTCGACAAAATAGAAGCCAGATAATTGGCTCTGACCCCCACCTCCAACATTTAAGAGATGTCAAAGGACATCTAAATTAGGTTAAAAAATCAAATTGATACGGATATTTCAACAGTGTTCTGTGCTGCAAAACTGAAAATGAAACCATTTAATACACAGCTCATTAATATCTGAGTTACACTTTTAGGAACTGTCTATTCAAAGAATCATAAAAAGTTGTCAGCTTTTAAAAATAAATGGATGCTATTTCTTTCTTTCTCTTATCTGATTTCTCTAGCTAGGACTTCCAGTAATATTTTCAATAACAGTGGTGAAAATGTGCATCTTTTTCATGTTTCAGATTTTAGAGAAAAGACTTTCAGTTTTTCACTATTCAGTATGATACTAGCTGTGGGTCTGTCATATATGGATTTTATTATGTTGAGGTATATTCCTTCTATACCAGCTTTTACAGGTATTTATCATGAAGGGATGTTCAAATTTATTGAATGTTTCTCACCATGAATTTAAAAATTGTATCTTTTTGTCCTTTATTCTGTTGATATGATATATAACCTTGATTTGTGAACATCCTTTCATACCTCAAATGAATCTCACCTGGTCATGATGAATGATCTTCTTTATGCCATGTTGAACTTAGTTTGCTAATATTTGTTAAGGATTTTCACTTCATTGTTCATCTGGAATATAAGCCTGTAGTTTTCTCTTTATGATGCACCTTTATTTTGGTATCAGGGTAATACTGGCCTCATAGATTGCCTCTCAAAGTATTGCCTTTGATTCTATGTTTTGGAATCGTTCGAGCTGGATTGGTATTAATTCTTCTTTAAATGTTTGGTAAAATCAACAGTAAAGCCATCAGGTCCTGGGCTTTTCTTTATGGTTGACATTTTATTATGGCTTTGATCTTGCTTTGGATTTTTTAATGTTTTAATCTTGGTAGGTTGTATATGTCTAAACATTTATTTCCTTTCTTCTGGGTTTTTAAATTTATTGGCACAGAGTTTATTATAGTGGCCTCTAATGATCCTTTGAATTTCTGCAGTATCAGACATAATGTCTCCTTTTTCATCTCTGGTTTTCTTTATTATAGTCTGTCTTTGTTTCTTAGTCTGGCTAAAGTTTTGTTAATTTTGTTCATATTTTCAAAAAACTAATTTTTTTATTTCATTGATTATTTGTATTGTTTTCTTCATTTCAACTTCATTTATCCTCTGATGTTTATTATTTCTTTTCTTCAACTAATTTTGTATTTGCTTTGCTCTTGCTTTTCTAGTTTTTTAAGAGGCATCACTAGGTTGCTCATTTTGAAGTTTTTCTTATGTTGTGATGTTGACACTTATAGCTACAAACTTCCCTCTTACTATTCCTTTTGCTGTATTCCGTAGGTTTTTGTATGTTATGTTTCCATTATCATTGGTCAAAAAACTTTTCAAATTGCTTTTTAATCTCTTCATTAACCCAGTGGTCATTTAGGAGGATATTGTTAATCTTCATATGTTTGTATAGTTTCCAAACTTCCTCTTGTTATTGATTTCTAATGTTATTGTGTTGTGGTCAGAGAAGATGCTTCATATTATTTCAAATTTTTAATATGTTAAAACTTGCTTTATGGCCTAACATATGGTCTATTGTTGTGAATAATCCATGTCCTGAGGAGAAGAATGTATATTCTGTAACTGTTGAATGAAAGGTTCTGTAAATATCTACTAGGCCCGTTGGGTCTATTGTGTAGACTAAGTCCAAAATTTTCTTGATTTTCTGTCTGGACTATCTGTCCAATACTAAAAGCTGAGTGTTGAAGTCTCCAGATATGATTGTATCAGAAGCTGTTTCTCTCTTTAGCTCTAATATTATTTGCTATATATATCTGGGTGCTCCAGTGTTGAGGGTATATATATATTTACAGTTGTTGTATCTTCTCAATGGATTGATTATTTTATCATTATATAGTGACCTTCTTTGGCTCTTTTTATAGTTTTTGTCTTGAAATCTTTTTTGTCTCTTTCAAGTATAGATACTCCTGCTATTTTTGGTTTCCTTCCCTTTATTTTCAGTCTATGTATGTCATTCTAGGTAGAGTGTTTCTTGTAGGCAACAGGTTATTGGATTTTTTTTTTTCTTTATCCATTCAGTCACTCTGTGTTTTTGGTTGGAGACTTTATTTCATTTACATTCAATGTTATTAATAACGAATAAAGACTTCCTCCAGTCATTTTGTTATTCGTTTTCTCGTTGTTTTGAGGAAGATTTTTCCTTATTTCCTTCTTTCTTTCTTCCTTTTCTCTGTGATTTTCTCTACTGGTATCTTTAAATTTCATGCTTTTTATTTTTTATGTATCCATTATATTTTTTAGGCTCGAGGTTACCAAGAGGCTTGCAAATACTATCTTATAACTGATTATTTTAAACTGGTGAAAACTTAACACTGATTGCAAACTAAAACAGAAGCAGAGAAAAAAAACAACAAAATCTCTACCATTTAACTTTATCCTCCTGCTTTTTAAATTTTTGTTGTTCCTATTTATATATCTATTTATATATTTTACATCTTCTATTTATATCTTTTATATTTATATCTTGTATTTTTGTAGTTTCCATTGTCTATATGTTCAAAAGTTATATAGTCATTTTTTATCAGTTCATCTTTATGTCTTTCTACTTAAGATAAGAGTTTACACACCAAAATTACATTACTATAACATTCTGTCTTTTTCTGTATATTTACTGTGAGTTTCATTCCTTCAGATGATTTCTTACAGCTCACTAATGTCCATTTCTTTCAGATTGAAGTATTCCCTTCACACTTTTTGTAGTACAGGTCTGGTATTGATGAATTCTCTGTTTTTCTTTGTCTGGGAAAGTCTTTATTTCTCCTTCATGCTTGAAAGATAGTTTTGCTAGATTTACTATTCTGGGTAAAAGTTTGTTTTTGTATTTGTTTGTTTCTTCAGCACCTTAAATATGTCATACCACTTTTTCCTGACCTACAATGTTTCCACTGAGAAGTCTACTACCAGACATATCGAAATGTTTGTATAAGTTTTTTTTTCTTGCTGCTTTTAAGATCCTTTCTTTATCCTTGACCTTTGAGAGTTTGATTATTAAAAGCCTCGAGGTAGTCCTGTCTAGGTTAAATCTGCTTGGTGTTCTGTAACCTTCTTGTCTTGAATATTGATGTCTTGCTATAGGTTTGAGAAGTGTCTGTTTTTATTTCTTTAATTAAACATTCTACCCATATCTCTCCCTCTACCTCCTCATTAATGTCAATAACTCTTATATTTTCCCTTTTGAGGCTCTTTTCTAGATCTGGTAGCAGTGCTTTTTTCTTATTTATTTTATCTATTGTCTCCTTTGACTGTGTATTTTCAAATAGCCTGTTTTTGAGCTCACTAATTCTTTCTTCTGCCTGGTCAATTCTGCGTTAAGAGACTCTGAACCATTCTTCAATACGTCAATTGCATTTCTCAACTTCAGATTTTCTGCTTGATTCTTTGAAATTATTTCAATCTCCTTGTTAAATTTATATGATATGATTTCGAATTCCTTCTCTGTGTTATCTTGAACTTCTTCGAATTTCTTCAGAATAGCTATGTTGGATTCTCTTTCTGAAAGTTCACAAATCTCTTTCTCTCCAGGGTTTGTCCTTGATGTCTTATTTAGTTCATTTAGTGAGATCTTGTTTTCCTGAATGGTCTTAATGCTTGTGGATGTTTGCTAGTGTCTGGGGATTGAAAAGGTAGATATTTATTGTAGTCTTCCCAGTCTTGGCTTGTTTGTACCTGTCCTTCTAGGGAAGGATTTTTAGGTAATCAAAGGGACCTGGATGTTGCAATCTAAGTTTTTAGTCACTACATCCATTTCTGCATTAGGTGGTACCCCAAGCCCAGTAGCACTGCTCTTCTTGAAGACTCTATGGTTTCTGCCTTGGTGATCTTGAATAAGCTTCCGAAGTATTCTCCAGATTACCAGGCAGAGACTTTTTCTCCCCTTTCTTTCCCTCACCTAAATAGAGTCTCCCTCTGTGCTGAGCTGTCTAGAGCTAGTGGAGGAGGGATACTAGTACCCCTGTGGCCACCACTACTGGTTGGTAGTGTTCTGGTTAAGACCGGTATTCCGCATATCACTGGTCTCACCCAAGGCCAACTGTAATCACTACCTTGCTACTGCTAATGTAAACTCAAGGCCCTATGTCTCTAAAATCAGCAGATGGTAGAGCCAGCTAGTCTGTGTCCTTCCCTTCTGGATGGTGAGTTTCCCCAGGCCCTGGGCATATCCACAGATGGTGTCCCGGAGCCATGGCCTAGAGTCAGAAACCTTAGAAATCTACCTAGTACTGTATTCTACTGTGGCTGGGCTACCACTGAAACCAAAAGATGATGTTCCTTTCTCTCTTCCCTCCCCTTTCCACAAGCAGAAGTGTCTCTCCCTATCTATCACCACCACAGGTCCACAGTCAGCACTGCCAGGATACTGCTGATGTTTACTTATGGCCCAAGTGCTCTTCAGTCAGTATGTGGTGAATGCTGTCTGGCTTGGCACTCACCCTAAGTGCAGTAGGCTCGCCTCTGGACCAGGGTAGTTCCAGAAATGCCATCTAAGATCCATGGCCTGGAATTGGGGATCCCAAGAGCTCTTCCCCTCTGTGGCTGAGCTGGTATCTAAACTGGAAGAAAAAGTCCTCTTTAATCTTCCTTCTGCTTTCCTCAAGCAGGACTCTCTCCTCATGGCCACCACTGCTTGGAATGTGCTGGGTCACATCCAAAGCCGGCATAACCCAGAGTCTCACCCAAGGCTCATGGTATTTACTACCTGGTTTCTGGGCCCAAGGGCTCTTTAGTCAGTCAATGATGATTCCTCCCAGGACTGAATCCTTCCCTTCAATGCATTGGTTTCCTCTCTGGACAAGGGTATGTCTGGAAAGTTCATCCAGGAACTAGGGCCTGAAATGTGGGCATCATGACTCTGCCCAGTGCCCTATCCTGGTGTGACTGAGCTGCTATCCAAATTACAAGATAAAGTCCTCTTTGTTCGTTCTTCTCTTCTCACTTGATTTTTTTGTTTTTATACAGGGGCTTTTTTGGTAAACAATTGTTAATTTGCTCTTTCTGTGGGGAGGATGATCAGTGGAAGCTTCTATTCATCCATCTTGCTCCATCTCCAATTTTCTAATTATTCATTCTGTATTAATCTTTTAGAATTATCTCAGGGACTACCATATGCTTCTTTGACATACTGGAGTCTAATTAGTACTTTTATTACTCCCTAGACAATGAGAAAGCTAAAATTATTTTGATTCTAGTCTCTTCCTTCTCATCCTTTCCACTATCATTTTCAGATATTTTAATTCTATATAAATTTAAAACCAAACATAATGTTCTTATCATTTTAAACAATATAAATTTGTATTTTCACACATTTTCCAGTGATTCACATGTTTCTTGTATTTTCTTGCTTGCACATGGGTTAATTTTCTATTGGGTTTGGAGAATATCCATTAATGTTCCCTTTAATGAAGTTCTGCTGGTGATAATTTACATTCTTTCAGTTTTGTTTCGTTAAAAATGCTGTTATTTCACCCTTATCTGTACTCACTTTCGTGGAGTATATAATTCCAAGTGAGGAGTTATTTTGTGTAAGGGATACTTTTCTATATATTTTACAGTTTCCATTGAAAAGTCTGTTATAGTTGCTCCATAAACATAGTGTGTGTGTGTGTGTGTGTGTGTGTGTGTGTGTGTGTGTGTGTGTACTTATGGCTGCTTTTAAGATTTTCCAGTGTTCAATTTTCAGCACTTTTACTATAGCATACTTATTCGCAGTTTTCTTTGAGTTCATAGTGCTTGGAGTTCATAAAACTTAAATCTAGGGCCAGATGTCTCATCAGATTAAGAGAGATCTACGCTAATATTTCTTCAAATATAGCTTCTATCCTTTTCTTTTTCATGTTTTTCTCCTGATGTCATAATAATATGTAAATATTTTTACCATGTACAATATTTCACTTTTGCTTTTTTCTTATTCCTCTTTATTTCTGTGTGTAATTCAATTATTTTAAAACTGACAGATTTTAAATTATTAAATTATTTTTATTAAATTATTAAATTAAATTTAATTACATTTAATTGTTAAATTATTAAACTATTTTTTAATTATTTTAAAACTCACGGATTCTAGCATTTTCTTGTTTGTAATTTTCTATAAACCCTTCTATTGAATATGTAATTTAATTTTAAATTGATTTAGCTTTAGAATTTACACTCAATTACCATTTTCTCCCCTAAAAAGATTTGAGTAAACTTTTTCCTTATAGACTAAATAATATTTTTAATTTTCCATTTCCTAATTTATGATTTATTAAAAGTATTACTTATAATTTAAAAAAATCTCTTCTGATATCTCAGATTTCTGGATAATCTGTGTTTGTGTGTGTGTGTCAATTTTGTCTTTTGATCTCTCTCTGGTTTTAAGTCATGGAATCCCAATTGTTGGCATGCTTGCTGACTTTCTGTTATTGAATTTTAAACATTGCATAGGAAAAGAATATAGAGTGTCTAGATGACATTTTCCTTCAGTGAGAATTCATTTCCCTTTTGTCAAAAATACATACATAAAAGCATATTATCTTGATGCAGTTGAGGCTGTGTTATATAGTTTATTAAGGCTGATGTATTTCTGGTTTGTCTTTACTCTTAAGGTGTAGTTTTTTTGCTCTATGAATTGCTCTTATGTGATCTTGTCACAGGATTGTTGGGGTGTCGCTTCACCAGCTGGAAACCTCTGTGGTCGGCGCCACCTTCTGCCTGAATATTGCCCACACCCACTGGGCTTGTTTCACCCACTCAGCCTGGCAGGCTGCACTAAGCTTGTGATACCAGCCCAGATCCCTCACCTGCCAAGGGCGAGCCAGGCCCTGGGCGGTGAGGGCCACTGTGCACAGCCAGGCATGCCAGCTGCTGCAGCAGGGCAGGCGTCTACATCTGGATGAGGGGAATGCAGTGGGACCTGGAAGCAGAGCCCCAAAGACAGTGTCATAGTCCTGGCTCAGGAACCCCTAGATCTGGGCTTTCCAAAGGGCCACAGCTCTTCTCTCCTCGCTGCCCTCAATGTGGCGAATGTGGGGATGTGTTTCAGCCCTGTTGGAGTTACCACTCCTTCAGTGCCATCATTCAGCAGGTCCTGAATTCTTGTCATGCATCCAGAAAGAATGAGGTATGTGGACAACTAGAGGGTGAGCAAGGTGGAGAGGAGCTTCATTAAGTGATAGAACAGCTCTCAGGAGACACGAAATGGGTAGCTCCTTTCCACAGGCAGTTCATCCCAATGAGTCAAGGAGACCCAAAGTGGGTAGCTCCTTCCCAAAGCTGGTAGTCTTGATGTCTGTCCAAGTCTGGCTGAGTCTGAAGATTTTATGGGTTCAAAAGGCAGAAAGTGCATGCTAATTCATCCGTGGGTGGCCATGGGCAGGCCTGGAAAAAGCACCAAAAGTTCTCACTCTGGGACCTGCTGTCCACAGCACCCAGGCTGTTCATGCTGAGGAGCACCTGCAGGTTCATGCCGAGCTTCCCTCAGTGCCCCTAGCCTGCCTCACTGAGTTCATCAAAGTTTTCGAGGAGACTGAGGCAATGGGAGGGCTGGTGTGTAAGCACTGTTCTGAGCACATGAACACCTGGTCAGGTCCTGACAGTGCCTGGGCTTAGCTTCAACTTTACTACAACATCAGAGCAGGAACAGGGAGTAGGAACAGACACTTCCAAGCCTTTAGGGGCAGGGGGGCTTCCTGGGCCCCTAAAAGCGCAGGGATGCCTGGGTCCAGAGCTGTGGCTGCACAGCTGCAGCTGTGCCTAGGAGTGCGGGACTCCCACCCTGCCAAGTCAGTAGGGGATGAGGCTTCCTCCTGTTCCTGGCCCCCACCAGCTCCACAGAGCATGTAGTCTCGGTCACAGGTCATGCTGCAGCTGGCATTCCCTCAGCAGCAAATCCAGATGAGCCGCTGCTGCCATCAGTCTCAACTGAAGGACTGGGATATTTATACAGTCTTCTCCAACTTAATAATTCAAGTAACATAAGACTACTGAAATCTTTGCTCCATTTATTAATTTTCTGCACTGATTCTTCATCTCTCCAACAATGTTCAGAAGTTTAAAGAACTAACAAACTATTGGGAGGGAATTGTACACAGAAATTTTGGCTCACTTTTCTGAAATTTCATTTCTTCTAAATGGCCGAGTGTTGAATTCCAGCCTGCTTCACTAACTCCAAAATCCAACTCTGTCTCCTTTGCCCAGTGATCAGTTCACATGCACACAAAATGCTATTTTATACTTTGGATTTGGTTTCTACCAGTGGAGATGGATATTAGTAAATGTCTTGAAATTGCCTTGTTCTGGAATTGCCACTTTGACTAAACAAGACAATTAAACTCAACTGTAGGCCATCCCTGGTACCAAGTTTACTTACTATACAGGGCAGGAAACCCAGAATTCCAGCTGAGTTGTATCAATAGTGTCTTTTATGTTGGACTGCCAATGAAAGCTTAATGTGAGTGAATGAGACCTCAGGGATTGGTACATGAGATACCCATGTAGGAATTATTCTGTCTCATAATATTTCTACAGGCATACTTTTATGGACTTAGGAAGATGAACTCTTAGTTACCTAGTTACATTGCATTTAGGAATGCCCAAAACTATGAATCCCTAATAGTAATGTATAATTGGTTCGATGCATTCCAAATTATGATGCAGGTTATCAACTGGAAGTCATTTTTATCATAATCAGTTTTGTCTGGTATCACAGTTGCCATTTATTAAGTTTACAGCAAAACAGATACGAAAGATTAACCCAAACTCAGTTTTCCAAAGTAAAGGAGAGATTTGAAATCCTTTATTCCCATAAGCTGATGAAAAATTAGAAGCTTGTTTGGTCTCATTGTGCTACCGTTTTCTCTTTTGGATCCCACAGGTCTTGGTGTCATGGTTGCACTCATTATCTTCAGTTTATATATTTTAGCCAGCTGTTGATGTACTTAGTTGGAGTGTTAGTGTGTTAGAAATTATTCTACCACTGTGAGATGTGGAAGTAAATCAAAAAACTTAAAGTTGTATGTAGTTTTTTAAAAATTTTTATTTTTTCTTGGCTTAAGGGGCTTTCTAGAAGTAATTGATCATGGCAGAGTGGCTATTAACTACTTACATTTGAGTGAATTTTAAAAACATGTTTTAAATTGTAAAATAGGTTGTCTATATGCATCTGAGGATATTTTACTATGATTCATAAATGGTTTGGTGATGTTCAGGTTTCTAAAGAGATAGAAAATTAATAGTGTTCCTGACATGTCTTTAAAGGCAACTTAACACATACAAAAATATGTCAGCACTCATCTTTATAGTCTACTAAAACCAAGTTATTTGAGTGCTCTCTGTATCTGCAAAAAGATCACACAAATCATTTAGAAAAGCAATCATCATAGCATACAGTGAATTTTCTCATGTATTTTAAATATCCAAAGAAAGAGAAAGACAACCAAAAATGAAAACTAAAATGGGTAGCAAAATTTACAAGTCATTTTGTAAACAAGTTTATAATATTTTGAAACATCCTTCATGAGAGACACAGAATGCACTGTTATAAAAATTCACACTAAACTCCACAAATTAAGAACTGGTAGTAGTTCAAGAACATAAGTTTACTCTTGTTAATCTACAGCAAAGTATTGCTTAAGAATCCAATAGTGTAAACCATTTTAGATTATTCATGCTTCTTGTTGAAAAAATAATCTTATGTGATTTAAAAGAATAATTTATTTAAAAGTAAGATTCTGATTCACTACTGGCCAGCATGAAAAATAATGCATCTATCAATATGAGGAAATCTATTAAAACACTGGAAATATGAGTGAATCATCATACATTGTGAGTTTTAGAATTAGAGAGTAAAAATAAACATATTATTTTTCTCAAAACAGTGGAAAGAGGAAAAAGTGAATCTGTATATTTTATTTCATATATTAAAATGTTACTGTGACTAAAATATTACTTTCCCTTTATATATATATAGTAATTATTATTTATGCATTGCCTATATTAATTGACTTCGTCACACACCTCCACATATGTGTATCTATCTAATCTATCTATCTATCTATCTATCTATTTCTATCTCTATCTCTCTGTCAATCATCTTTATAAAAATTCTATTTATGCTTTTCCTATGTGGGAGGGCATAACCAAGATTGGGAAAATAAACATAGATTCTGTGCATCCTGAAAACTTTTCTCTGGTGTTACTGCTTTTTCCTTTTGATTCCTCTTATTTCTAAAGAAGCTCTACCTTCTGTGATGTTTATATTCTGGTTGTATTTACTTCACAGGCCATATTAAGAATCTGCACATATTGGTTATGATTGATAATCGGTTGTGATTTTAATGTTTTAGCAAAATGATTCAAATTTCAACTTCTCTCACCTTTGGTTTCTAATGGCCACAAAATTATCTTTTTTTTTTAAGTTTTACTGATTTAAATTTATCACTATTATAATTTCCTTCTGGTTTTACATATTTCTATTAATTCATTAAAAATATCTCTCAGTTAGCTCCCTTTGACACACTCATATATACATTTCATCTCTTTTTACTTACCACAAATTTTAACCATAAGTTTTTATAACAATCAACAAAATCTCTCTTAATTTTAGAGGATATGTTCTGAGATTACAGGGACTCAGACTGTTTTACTATTATCTTTTGAGAGCTCTGACAGAGTCTAGCCCATACCATGTGCAACAATTATCTTTTCTTCTTTTCTTTTTTTTTTTTTTTTTGAGACAGAGTCTTGCTCTGTCACCAGGCTAGAATGCAGTGGCATGATCTTGGCTCACCGCAACGTCCGCCTCCCAGGTTCAAGCAATTTCCCTGCCTCAGCCTCCTGAGTAGCTGGGACTATAGGCACATGCCACCATGCCCGGCTAATTTTTGTGTTCTTAGTAGAGATGGGGTTTCACCATGTTGGCCAGGATGGTCTCAATCTCTTGACCTCATGATCCACCCGGCTCAGCCTCCCAAAGTGCTGATATTACAGGAATAAGCCACTGCGCCCAGCTACAATTATTCTTCTGGTCCATTGGAGAATCAAACACATATGTACCAGAACTAACTGTGCATGCATACACATACACACATACACACATACATAGGTTGTGGACTGTTCGTTGCATTATTTTTTATTGCACATATTTGAAGTGTACAGCATGATGTTTTGATATACAAATATAAAATGAAATGATTACTATAGCCAAGACAATGGACAAGTTTATCATCTCACATATTTAATTTTTTACTGGGGCCCGGGGGGTGTAAGAACAGCTAAAATCTACATTCTTAGAAAAATTTTAGTATGCAACACAATATTATTAATTATAATTCTTGTGTGGCACATTAGATTTCTAGACTTATTTAATTGATCATAGATGACATGACTACAATCTAACAACTGTTGTGATTACAATGCTCTTTAAAAATAAGTCTATTCAAGAAAAAACTGGAATGACACCCACAAAAATTTGATTAAATTTTTATAATAAGCAACTATGAAAGAAAGAAAATATGCTTTGAAAAGAATTAAAATTACAGAATTTGTGTTAAATTATTTAATAAATGTTATGTTTTGGCTAACTTGCCTACGTTTTATTTATTTTGGTAACATTCTACCAAAGAGATACATTAAAACTAATATTTTAATGAAAGTAGATAACTATGGCCGGGCATGGTGGCACATGCCTGTAATCCCAGCACTTTGGGAGGCCGAGGTGGGTGGATCACGAGGTCATGAGTTTGAGACCAGCCTAACCAACATGGTGAAAACCTGTCTCTACTAAAAATACAAAAATTAGCCAGGTGTGGTGGTGTGCGCCTGTAATCTCAGCTACTTGGGAGGCTGAGGCGGGAGCATTGCTTGAACCCGGGAGATGGAGGTTGTGGTGAGCTGAGATCGTGCCATTGCACTCCAGCCTGGGCAATAAGAGCAAAACTCCGTCTCAAAAAAAAAAAAAAAAAAAGAAAGTAGTCAATTTATGCCGCAAGATAACTAAAATGCCACTGAAAAACTACATAGAAAGATTTGAGAAGCAATTAATTATTTAAGTGGGCTTTCTTAGAGATACAAAGCTCATTAGCTATTTTCACAACTTTCAAAATATATGATGGCAATAAAAGCTGTTAAAAAGATACATAGTTATCAGAAATCTAGGCAAATAGAGATTCTCTAAATAGTTAAGTACATTTTAGTTAAGTAAAAAGAAATTCAGTTTTTTTATGTAAAACTAAATGAGTGTAATAAACTTAGTAATAGTGAAAAATTAAGAATGAGATAACTTATTAGGCCCAAAATGATATTTTAAATTGTTCAAAAATGATTGTTCTGGTGACATACGTATCATTATAAACTTAAGATAGATATATCTATAAAAATATAAATGTATTAAGAGAATTTTTGATACTCATTAATGTCTATGTATCATATTGTAACATATGTATTCATATTTTGTCATAATACTGTTCCAAGTTTTCATGTGAAATGTAAAGTCAGTTATGGTTACTTTGTTGTGATGTCTGTAAATCTTTTTTAATTTCTCTAAAAAAATAGTTTTTGGCAAAAGATGAATAACAAATGATATATGTCACATATGAAAAAAGATTATTCACATATAGGTTTAGGAGTAACTTTTTTTTCCTTCAACCAAATAATGATTATTCAAGTTGATTCAGTTCAATGACCAAAATACATGACGTTTTGATATTTTTATGTGCATATCTTAGTTTATACTTCCGTTTTTGCTTCCTGAAAAACTTTTATCATCATGTTTTAACTTTTAAATATCTTTGCAACTGGACATATTTATCTGCATGTTGTATTTTGAGAAACAAAGGCACTGAACTTAACTAGCTGGCCTGAGGAGAAAAAGCAAGAGCAGGTCCAAATCCATTTTTTTTCTAGGATACAAAAGGACAAGTCAATTCCTCTTACGCTTTGTTTTTAACTATTCTTACTAAAAGGTTCTTTAAGCAGATGTGCATATTTGTATTTCATAATGAATTTGCTAAATTCACCATAATATGTAATAAAAAGACATGTGTAAATCAATTATAATTGATTTGTCAGTTCCCGTAATGTATTTCCACCTATGAAGGCATTTTGCTTGGCTTATTTTATATGGAAAACAAAAACAGCTTCGTTGCTTCATTTGAAACCTTCAGTGGTTTTCCACATCACAGAACCACTTACAATTCTGTAGGACCATGATAGTCACAGCTATTAAAATAGAGTGTTTAAGGTCAGATTTGGAGCTGGGGTTACCAGATTAAATGCAGAATGAGCAGTTAAATGTGAATTTTAGTTAAACGATGACTTTATATAAGTATGCCACTTGCATATATTCGAGATATACTAAAATCATTTGCCTTTGAAATTAAAATTTAGCTGGGCATGCTGTGTGTTCGTTTTTGTTTTCTAAATCTGGCAATCTTAATTGCATTTTATTGACAACTGCAGAAATATTGTTGGTAGGGAGCCTTTTGCCTACACTTGGAAGGACAAAGCAACTTCTTATTTCCTTTATCACTAAAGTGTCCTGGAGTTAAATTGAGAAAGCAATAAGAAATAAGGGTTGTCTCACCATATAAGACTTAATTAAACTATGTAATACATGTATTATAGTACATTTAATTAAAACAAAATAATATCTGTGAAGTATTTTAATATGGAAAGGGAGCCCATTAAGTATGTTTTGGAATAACTATTAAATTATTAACACAAAATCTGGTATGTCTTGTATTTGTCACTTGCAATTTAGATTTCTTTTTATTAAACATAATCCTATGTAAATAATACAATAAATGTTTGCAAATAAAAAGATTATTCAGTGATCCTTTGAATCTTTCCCATTTGCCTCCTGGAGGCAAAAATAATTAAAATGCATAATGACAGACAAACATGAAGATGAAATGATTTTAAAGAATATAGTCACCTATTTTAAATTTGTTACTGAATTTCTGTATCACAAAAGTAATAACTAGTAAGGCAATGCATATGCATGTAGCTAGATATAGTCAATCTACAATGTATATATACTTCAATATATATTGTCTATGTTAATAATATGCAATTTTATGTATCAATTTATAAGATAAGCTAATAAAAAATAAATGAAACAAAACAATAAGAATGTAGGCAGGCGCCTTCTAGTTTTGGAACTTTCCACAAATGTCAAGAGAACATCCTTTCTTCTGTTTAAGAGAGGAAGAGCAAATGACTACAGAGAAACTTGCAAAATAGTAAACTTCAAATACTAAAAAAAGCCATAGGTGGATTATTTAAATACTATTAAAAATATGCTTATTTCTCTTACTCAAACATTGTAGATTGTTTAACATGGACTCATGTTATCTGTTATCATCAAGAGAAATATACTCAGAAATAAATCTGCTGATTTTGTAAATAAAACACAGAGATAATTAAAGATTGATCATAAGATATATTTGTCTTTGTTACAGTTCTGTTTTCTTGTAGCATGGAAACAAAAATGAATAGAACTTTCCTTATATCCAGGTTTTGTTTGTTCATTCATACTTTTATTATAAAATCCACTTATTTATTTGTTATTTTAATTTAAATGAATATAACAAGTTGGATTATTTTCTACCCATTAAATGCTTAATTATTATAAATATATCTATATTATATACATAAAATGTTTATAATTTCTAGAATTTGTCCTTGGGAAACTACAGTAATATATAAAAGCTAAAAAAGAAAAGACAAAATTGTAATTTATGCCTCCACGTAGATTAAAGTTTTATCTCTAAATGTAAATATTATTTAATATTACTTAAAAATACATGTATGTTACCTTTAATAGCTTTTTTCGTTAACAGAAATCACATAGACATCTATACATACAACGTATTAATTTTGTTACCTCATTTTTTCTTTATTTTAATGGCTTGTGTTTATGTGTGTGTGTGTGTGTGTATTTGGTGTCTGTGTATGCACATGTATGCATGTGTCATATTTTTTTTTCCATAGAAACTTCAGGAAATGCTTATTACAACGTCAAAGTCTTCCTATCATCTAATAGAGTAGTCTGGACTTTGCCCATCTCAGATCTCCTGGTTTTGTATACTTTGACAATCTGATGAGTATATGATGAAGATATTTCTGAATGTCTTGCTTACTTTTGCTCCAGTATAATTTCTGGGAATGAAATATATATTGCTAAACTCTTTAACATTGTAGATATAGAAAATGCTACTAGGCATATTATAACTTTGAGTAAATTCATTGTATTTACTATAAAATCTGGTCTACTTTGTCTAATTTGTTTATTTATCTTACTGAAACCTATATAAGATGTAGTATCTAGTATTATTATAAAAATATCAATATAGTTCTCTCCTATGATTTGTCTCCTCCAAAGCCAAGCACATACTGCATTAATATTCAAGTCTGGTATAAGTCTTAGTGAATCTCTCAATCCACATCATTATTTTGTTCATATCCACACTCTTGATATGGACTTGATAGATAAGGCTAAGAAATACAAAAGAATAGATTTGTTTATGTAGAGATTATTTTAAGCTTGCTGGAAGCAGAAAAATCCCAGACGAGGAAATGAGAAGCAGACAGGCAATCTGTGTGCCTCTCATCTTCCAGCAGTTCCTAGAGGTTACGTATAAGAAGATTAGAAAGTAAAACTGAATTGCAATTTTAAAGCTTTCTAATGAAAACAAATTTACTGTGTTTGATTGCTTATATTTGTTGCTTATATCGGTTTTTGAAGACAGCATACTATGGAATGATGATTCAATACAATGGAATTATTTACTATATAAATTGTTTGGGACTGTTTAGTTACTGAGCCATGGCTAACATTGTCATCCTAGTTTTAAATTAGTGTGTTAGTGTTTATACTGAACTTCAAAAAAAAAAAAAAAGCAGAAAAGAAAGTAGTCATTGGTTCTAATAAGTGAAGAATATTGTTATCTACTTATTTTTATGAATATTTGATGTGCAAATTTAAAATGTGCACTGTCTAACATTATATATGCTTACATGTCAATCATTTTTTGTTTACCTATATTACAGGCTGAACAATAATGGTTTCCAAAATATTGCTGATTTCCATTTTAATGATAGTACAAATAAATATGTGGATAGTCAATAAATGTATAATGAGGGAAGAAAGAACCAATGATGTCTATTATTCTTAAGTGCAGTGGAACTCTATTTAATTTATTGTAATTAATTATATTTTCAATTTAGTAAATCTGGGAATCCCCTATTCTGTATGGTATCAGCATAAAGGTTGCCAGTGAATAATTCACACGAAATTTGGGAGGTAGAAGTAAAACAGTGGTCATAAATCTCTGTTGTGATCAGAAGTACTGACGAAAGATACAATGGTGGCTTTTAGCTTCTCCTCTCACTCTTCTGCTACATGTCCAGCCCACCTTCCTGACTATGGGTCACCTCTACTGCACAAGTGCATCTCTCGGCCTACCAACAGACACTAGGCAGTGGTCACTATACAGAGACAACAGTTTCCCATAAACCACTCCACAAGCTTCCCCTATGTAGTCTGACTTTGACAGCTGGATATACGTGGCTTCCAGCATGTGTCTGCCTTTTCACCCCTGTAGATGCTTCGGAAAGATTAGTTGATGACTTCTTTGATTCCCCAACTCTGCCCCCAAAGACTTCCAGGTCTCTATGTCCCAAGCTCTGCCTACATTGTCATAAGGCCATTTCTATAATAAATACTTTTCCTTATAACATCAGATAGTCTGTGCTTCTCTAACTGAAAAGATAATTGATTAATCAGCCTTTAGTGGCTTACATTCTGTTGTAGTGTTAAGACTGACACAATTAGTAATTTAAGACAGAACATGATTGAGAATAAAGTTCAATTATGCTTTACTTTAAAAAATATTTGGAGGAGCCAGTGAGCTTCTAAGTAGTCATAGAAGGCTGAAAAAGAGAGAGTGCTATTTTAGTTGGGTATTTCATGATAGATGGAGGGTGGAGGAATAGAGTGCAAAGATAACATTATAGGAAGAGAAAACATGATGAAAACTATAAAATATTGAATATCCATAAAAAGGCAAAGAGAGAGAGAGATGATTAAACTTTTTGCTATATTTAGGAAGAATATGAAATGAGTTTAAGTAGGAACAATAGACAAGTTTAAGGAGGGCTCTGAAGCTAGAAAATTTGCTGAAGGGGAAGGTTTTTTTTTTTTTTTGATAAATTCTTATATGTGGAGAAGAGCCATGGTGTTATTTAAGTATAGCTGTAAATTGTCAATTTCCAACTGCTGCAGGGACATACTTATTTCTGAATATTTGGATCATCTCTGTGAATACTCCTCTGCTTCTGTTAGATGAATCCACTCCATAAGCCTGCTCACCCAAGTTCCTGTTGCAGCAAATAAGAGATACAATATTTACACCTCAGGGCACAACTCCCTTTTTAAAAGATTTTGCTGCTGGCTTCTAAAAGGTCTGCTCTACCTGATCCCTTCTTGCTCTCAAATTTCACTTCATCATTCTCTCCACCTTAATCTTCATTCACTCTTCCTGATCTCAGTTGTTTATAATATTTTACACAAATTTTACAATTTATAGATTGTGCCTGTCTTGTAGTTTGACCAGGTATGAGGTATACTGGGAAATACATACATACATACATAGATGATAGATATACATAGGTAGATACAGATACACATTTATATTTAGTTGTCAAAACCTCTTTTACATTATTCTTATCAGAATAGACAATTGACTGGCATGGTGACTCACGCCTGTAAACTCAACACTTTGGGAGGTTGAGGTGGGAGAATTGCTTGATTTGAGCCCAGGAGTTTGAAACCAACCTGGGCAACACAGTGAGAGCCCATCTCTACAAAAAACAAACAAACAAACAAAAATTAGCCAGACATGGTGACACATTCCTGTAGTCCCAGCTACTCAGGAGGCCGAGGTGGAAGGATTCCCTGAGCCCAGGATGTTGAGGCTTCAGTGAGCCCTGATCACACCACTGCATTCTAGACTGGGTAACAGAGCAAGACATTGCCAGAAGAAAAAAAAAAACTACAACAAAATAACACAGATAATTACTGATATATTTAGCCACATTCAATTGGAAGTAACACATAATTTTTAATCACTTTATGTCTTAAAAGTTTAGCTTCCTAAAACCCACATATATTATTCAAATTTCACTGCTTCAGTGTTACATGGTACAGGCCAATATTAGATATTGACCACCTCTGGATGCATTATTGTGTCCTTCAGTGTGTCTTTTGAGTAGTTATAATGATTAGTGAAACTTCGAGTTTTATTTTTCTTTTAGAATCAGATAGATTAAGCCTATACCTTCGGTATTTCTCTCAGGACACTTAGCCAATACATTATCTTGCGATACACTATTAGAGCAGCTTTCTATCTCATCTGTATCTGTAACCACTAGTAATAGGTATTTGTGATATTTTCCAATCTTTCAGGAATACTTTCCTTTCCCACTTCCCATTCCCCACTAACAACAGAGTATACTATAAATCCACATTATGTAATCTAATATGTACTGGATATTTTTTAATAGAATACCAGTATATGTTAACATTCTTCCATCAATATTTAATTTAAAGACCAACCACTTCCTTTTATGTATTACAACCATTAATTTAGTTTTACCTGTTTCTAAAATTGCCACTACATTTTCTCTTCCCGTATTTGATTAAGGACATATTATTGTTATAATATTTTATTTTGGCAATTAATTATAATTATTATTCTCATTTTGATGCTCACATTTTCCCAATTTGGTCAGTAAAATATCTTTAAAATGGTTTAAATTTTATTTTGACACTACCTGGATAGTTTGAAAGCACCTTGTTTTCTAGCAATACTGAGAATTATTATGTTAATCAGGATTTGTCCGGTCCAGAGGTATGATTATGATATCAATTACTGACAAAGAACCTTTTGCTTATTAAAGTATTATAGTATTGGAAACCAAATATGGTTATAACATTAAAGTGTTCTACATGTATAGTGATGGTAGCAATGATCATAGCATCTGCGGACCCTTAGGAGACAGGACTAGAAAAGCTGAACCACATACAAATCATAAATGTATATTTATACTTCTAATTTATCTTAGCATTATTCTTGTTTCTTTTAGTATAAAATTTAATACGCATTTAAAAATATTTTACATGTTAATCACCTAATTGAAATATAATATTTCCTAGATGTTACAAATGTATTAATCTTTATAATATTAAAAATTCATGTATTAAAACATTTTATTGAACAGACAGTATTATTAAATACAAAGAATTGTAATAATTACAGATCATTTGTTCTTTTTTAGATATCCAAAAAAAGTGTAATATGGTGCATCAGATTTTCCAAGCATATCTAGTTATTCCCTGAGAATATATAAGCCATTATTAGAAGAGCTCAAAAGGTGTCATAAATCTTCACTTGTAAATGTTCTCATTCTGCTGCAAAACTTTTTTGCATTAACTATTAAAAACCTAAAAAAGGAATGTTTCAATATTGAACATTCAATTCAGTGAATGTTTCAATTTTGTTTTCCCATAAATACACATGCAAATATATTGTTATATATTTATGTATATGTATATGTATATATGTAGGTATTCTATCTGTATGTATGTGTACATGTATTATATTAATGTTAATTACATGTCCATATAAAATATAATTTTCAATTAATATATTTTTATGTAAAATATACTAATATCTTCTGTTTTTTTATTCCAGCAGTAAAGTCTGCTTATATTATTTATATATAAGAAAGCTTTTAGTGGTTCTACTTCCACCAAAAGGAAACCTGGTGGAATTTGGGTGGAAAGCAGTGGCCCGTGTGCCAGGGCTGGTAGTAGGTCTGCCCCACTAGCCAGTTGCAGCCTGGCCCTGCTCTCCTGTACTATCCTGTAGGGTTTGGAAGCTACACAGAGGCACTGAGACATGAGAGAAGGGGGTTTCTGAAGGCAGATACCTTCATAATACCTTTATCTCCTTTGACTTTGCCCTAGAGTTTTAGATTTTTATTTTATTCTTTTCTAAAAAGGAGGGTTTTATTTAGCAATATTATCTGAAAAATTAAACCTTTATAAGTAATTCTCTACATCTAATAAATATTCTTCAGTAATAGGATTCTTTGGGGTAAAACATCTAGATAATCATATTATGTTTTCCATTAACAAAATCACACATTTTAGCAATTTTATCTGTTTAGCAATAATTTCCAACATCATGTAACAAAAACAAAACAGCAAACAAAACACAAAGTTTCTTAGCTTTGTATTTTTTACTATATTAGTTTTCCTTAGTTAAAGACATTCTTAACACCTCATGTTTATTTGTGTATAGGTATGTGTGTATAATTATATAAAATATAAGTTTTTCCATATGTTTCTTATGAGGTTAAATAAACTATTGGCAATTTTCTAATTACTTAAAGGACAAGTTTGTTACTGTTCTACCAATATTCTTCACTAATGCTCTGAACTTCTTTCACAAAAATATATATTATCTGAAAATAGAAGTTCCATACATTTACAAAGCCATGTGCTTTAGGCTTCTTTTTACATCATCAGCTTACATTGCTATAAATATAAAAACATACTTTGATAAGTAGTAACTGGAACTGAAGTCATTATACCATTGAGCTATTCTAGAATATGGTCATATCTCTAGTCTTGTAATACACTTAGCTACTTTTAAAAGGTAAGGACATTCACTATTTACTTGGGGACAAGCGTTATTGCAGCTGCCAGCATCAGACCTGTGCTTGATATTGGTACTTCATGTTCCTCATTAGGTTTCATGTAGCATGGTTTTAATTAATAGTGCCTCAAGTGGTCCAATATTATACATTTATTTGACATGTTCTAGCACCTTGTGGTGTATTATATTGTTTTGTAACATTTAAATGGTATATAACATTGCAATGATCCTAAGCTCAATTCTTTTGTGTCTATTTTATCTTAAGTCATCCTTAACTCCAAGAGGATTCTTTCAGACTAGAATTATTAAAACTTTGCCATATTGGAAGACTACCATTCATAATTCAGTTTTATGTTTCATTGATTATATTAAAATTTCAATAATATAAAATATTTTATAGCATAAGTGAGTCTATTTTATCTAGATGTAATGAAGTCTAATTAGTTAAAAACTTTTTAGAATTTAATTATAATTTAATCTCACATTTATTATTTAGACAGTCTAGGCAATTTCTAATATCTTTATATTAAATTACCAGACTGTACAAAATAAGAAAACTTAAATTGATTTTTCCAAACCCAGTAATAAGGCAAATAACACATTTATTCCTTTAAGTTGAATTCTGCTTCTGTGTCATAATCCGTGATAGTTGCTAAGGACAAAATTTTTATCAAATCATGGAATTTTCTTCATAGAATATGCAAGATTTGGGGGAAGACAGACATCAAACAGAGTATCACACAAATTAACATATGGATTTACAAGTGGATTGATTGCTATGAAAGTGAATTATATAATTGTATTAAAGATGTCATCTTGATAGTTATTAATATAAAGTAAGCAAAGACCAGAAAACTTCCTGAGGACTTAAGAGAAGTTACATGACCGTATCTCTCTGAAACAGCTAAGAGTAAGTAAATATGAGCTTATTTTAAGATTACAAGAAATGATTCAAGTACCATGACATAATTTCCAGCAATACAAATATGACATCTTATGATTTTTAATCATAGGGGATAAATCCAGCATTTGCTACATTTATGTAGACACCAAACCATTATTGAGAATTCCCAGTGTTGCAGGCAGCATGCAAATACTAGGAATACCAACAAAACATGTTGGCTCTGTACATCCATGATCTTACCACCTATACGACAGGCTGATATATATTGAATGAATGTAAGGCTATATGATAGGAACAGGACAGCAGTGAAAGAAAAGCATCACCATCTTACTCAGAAGAGAACATCTAGTTTAATTTTGCTGGTTTGTTTGTTTATTTTCTGGAACAGTAAGAGAAAATATTTTCTGCTGAGCCTCTTAGCAGGAATGAGGGTGAACCTTAAAATAATACCTGGAAGTGTATGTCAGGAAGGAGAAACAGCACTGACAAGGTATGCATGTATGAGAGTGTGTGACAGAGTTAGGGAATTAGAATGACGTGATGTATTGAGCTCAGGACACCTGGGGATAGGAGGGAGCTGGAGCCTGGTTAAACAGAGTATCTTTCTTTAAGTAATATTGCAAGGTGGTTGACAGTGTGATCCCTAGATTTAGAAATAAAGCAAGTCTCAGCGCTTCTTATGACATTGTAACCTCAGGAAAATTACTTAAATTATCAAACAATAGTTATCTTTCTGTAAATTGGGATAATCATAACAATTTATTTATATGACTGTTGGAAAATTAAATGAGGTAATAGATTCAATACGTTTAGCACAGCACCTGGCAGTACCCGTGCTGTGACTAGGGGTTGTTATTAATATTATTTTTTTCGTACACTATGCATTCTGTTTACCTTAGGGCCTAATTTGAGAAAATAAGAAATTATTAACTTTTGCATTTACTATTTTGAACTGTGTTCACACATTCAAACTGATTTTAAAAGTTCTCAATCCCTAATTAAACACAAATTACAGCCCCAAATAATAAAAAGAGTTTTCTGAATTAAGTTCCTTTTAAATAGAATATATGAAACCTATACTTTAACAAAACCACTGGTTTAAAGTGAAGCAAATTTACAAACTTTTTAATCTGTATATAATTCGTATTTTTTGAATATTTGACAGGCCTATGTGAAACATAAAAAAAATAGAGCCACATACCAGGTTGCCTATATTTTTGACTTTTTTCCCTCTCTTTTTGACATCAACTTCTCAGCAAGATGGTTACAGTAGCTGTGCTGCCTGTATAAACTCAATGCAGTGCAACAATCTCCATACACAAATTCATATCCATAGGCAGAAATTCAAAGGTAACTACTGTGTCACAGCATGGTAAACATTCTTTTACAACACACTGATACACATCAATCTCTTTATAATAGCCAACAATAACCACTAAAACCAGCATGCACTCATTCTCCGAAATTCTCTTTGGACACAAAAGGGCCTTGGTTTCCACTAAATTGTACCTCCTCAACAGATTCTAATACTGTGTGTTATGCATCAACACACTTAATGTCTTTTTTGATTTTTGAATCAGGTAACGAAAGTCTAATTTACTAATGATTCCTGAATGCTTTTTTTATTTATGGTTTGGGGCTATTTGCATGGCAGTCATTTAGCAAATTAATGTAGATGAAAAGCAATAATTTTACAGATGTTTGCTGCAATCATGCTGTCATCCCATATTTAAAATGCTAATCTATTGACATCTATTCATTAGAGATGAGCTCCACTTACTTTCTAACATTAGAGTTTTATAACCTGGGGTGTTTTTAAGTAGGCTGAGAGTCAGAATTTTAACCATCCCACTCAGAATGTATTTTTAAAGGGTGAAAGCATTTTATTCTTTATTACTTTAAGACTATTCTTCCTCATGCTGATATTACGCAATCTTTGATTGAATCTTTGCATTAATATAAACAACAGTACTGACTAGGTGCTTATATTAATTTTGTATTTTAAGTAGCAGAAGTCTAGCTATCTTCCTTCAGAAAAAAAGGGGCCCCCATTGCCTGGCAAAATCCTCAGAGGTTTCAATACTCTAATCAAGTGAAAGGCAGATATGTAGAAGGACACAAAAAAGGACTAGGACTAAGACTGAATGGCACCAGGATTCTCTGTCCCTGGTTGGAACTACTCGGTGTAAATCAGCTCTATTCTCCCTGCGGCTTTGTTGTTGGTGGTGCTGTTATTTTCAAGGGACTCATGCTCTTAGGAAGTGACTTGTCAGCCTATGCTAAAGCAAATGCAAACTCCTGAACTAATCAACTGGAACAAGAGGTCGGGATAACATAAAAACACTGCAGCTCACTCTGGAGCCCAGAAAACGGGATGAGGGTGGGGGTGGCCACTCATTTCCCAGAAAGGCTGTGCTGCCAGAAAATCCACAGAACTCAATAAATGTGAGGATTAAATGTATAGAGATGATCTTCAATTTTTTATGATGTTTGAGATATAAATATCTCGGAATGATGCAGTCTTTTTATTTTCAAAATTAATTTTCTGGTTTTAAAATGATCACATTATTAAAATGTATCACCTCTGTATTTTCCCTCAAGCCTCATCATATGCAAATACGTAGGTATTTATACATATGATTTGTACATACATGTATACATATATACATACACACAATTTAGAATATATGTATAAAATATACAACAAAATTAAATATGTATAAATTTAACTGTACAAAGATAATAAGTATATTCAAACCAGCACTCTTTCAGTGCCTTGAAAAAGTTACTTAAACATATGTATTTGATTTAAGTTAAGTAATCATTTATATTATGTTTCATTAATTGGTTGTGTCTCTGTGTTCTAGTCTAGCCATAGCAAGTTTGGCTAATCAGAGATTGGGTAAATCATTATGAGAGAATATGTTGAAGATGATGAACATAGCAGTTAGATAAATTGGTGTGAATATAACTTTAATTTTTAAGTTAGGCAAAATAAAAAATCCCTACAGTAATCTTTTACCATTTGAACTTCATCTTATAACCAACATTTGTTTATTCATTTCTTTTCATACAGGTGTTATGGACAAAATCCTATACTAACACAAAATAATTAAAATTGATTTCTACACTTTGTTTTTTTCTTAACTAAATTTCCTGAAGTTAATTGTTTATACAGTTACCATATCTCAACCCTGAAGACTTCAATAATTCTAAAAATTTGAAGTTAAAACCCAGCGCCCATTAGCTTGATTTTATTTACCTTATACAAACTTGTTTCTTATCTATGCTTTCAATCGTATAAACCATTATTCCTGAAATCACAATTTCAGGCCAAAGAGAACTGTTTTTCTCCAAATACACCATGCACATAACTGATTTTATAGAAAGCAATATTATGCCTAGTGGTTAAAATTCAGGCTCTTGTGTTAGACGGTACAGGGTTCAGGTCAGCTTGGGCATGTATTAACCGTGAGAGTTTTGACAATTCATTTGACCCCTTTATGCCCCATTTACCCTTATCTGTAACAAAAATGGAAATAATAAAAGCACTTACTTAATGAGGTTAAAAGGATTAGAGGGGACAATCAGGCAAAATCCTGAGCACACTGCCGGCCCCTCCTTGTCTGCTTCTCCTCCTTCCCCTCTTTCTCCTTCTTTTACTATTTAGCTCACTATTACACACTTGTTGACCTCTGCTGGGGAAAACTATACAATGAGTTAGCACCTCTCCAAATTAATCATAAGAAATCTTGCTTTGGTGCTCAACACTCCACTCCTTTTCCTCGCTTATTTTTGGCGCACTCACTGCACCTCTTCTGCAGTTGCAACTGCACACTTTCTCCTGCATACTTTCTCCTTTACTCCTCAAAATATCTGCATCCCTTCAGACTCCTAGTGAATGCCTTTTTTTTGATGAACAACCTGAGAAAATAGAATCTTCTGTGTATCTGATGACCAAATGTAGACAATCAAGCAAACAAACAAAAGCCATATCTACATATATACTCTTTATTTGTTTAAATGGAGAAAATTTCCCTCTCCTTGCCAATCCCTCACCTGTTCTCAGTATCCCACTCCACCATCCAAATGTTCACCAGAATCATAAGATGCTGAATGCCCCATTTTTTTTTTGTCTGTTCTTACAAACTCTCTTGATGTACTGTCTTATCAGCAAACAAGCTTACTCCACTTTCTCTTTCTTAACAAGAATAAAAAAACAGAAAAGCCTCATAAACAAATCTTATAGTATTCTAAGCCCCCTACCCTAGGGAGATCACTTTAATTTTTCCTTATAGGACAATACTCAAAACATCAACACTTTCTGAATATGTTGATACTTTTTCAGTTTCTCCTACTCAAACCATTCTGATCTGGTTTCTGCCTACACTGGTCTACTACAATGCCTCTAGGTTGATTAATAATCACTTATTTTATTTTACACTGTGTAGATAGCTTTTGTCCTCATCTTAAATGCCAACAGTAATTAATGAAGATGGGCATTTCCTTCCTGAAATAGCTGATTTCTATGATACCACACTATCCAAAGTTCAAATATATTTAATCTCTTATTCTATGTCTTGTCTGTTTACAAGATAAAAGTACCTGAGACAGAATCATACACATGTTTGTGTTGAATCTTCCTCCCCTTTTTAATAACCAATATTGCATATGAATTATTGTGTATAATTTTAGAGTTTTAAGTTGTGTTATATGCATTGCTGACAAAAATTAGTGGTAGAGATAAAAACAGAATGAGTCAAAATTTAAACCAACCGATCTGCTTACATGAGAAAATCCCATGTACTAATTAATACAAATTACAAAACTATAAAGTATGAAATGCAATGTGTTTACATTTAATTGCATTTTAAATTGATACTGCATTTTAAATTGATACAACTTTTGTCACCATAGCTAAAGGCATTTATGAATAATAATGAGCTCATCAGTGTGATTCTCTTTCAATCCTTAATGAATAGGAATGAGTTACTTTATTTTAACTGACTTGCTCTTTGTTTCAATTAATCATAAAAACACATGAAAGATAATGCCCCTTTATTATGTCTGAGTTCTTTCGTTTTCTTTTTCCTGATTTCAAAATAATTAGAATATGACTATGAGTAAAGCAAACAGGTAAATGTGAGCTAGAAAATTAACTTAAAAAATATAGAATTTGAAAATGACAGCTCTTTTATATCTAAAAATAAAATATTAAATGACACTCAATTTTTAAAAGTATTAATTATTGTCGTAATTCTCCAGTAGTTGAGGCAACCAGAATTGATAACCAAAACAAATTGGAATAACTCTATCATGATAAATAGGTACAAACTTATATGAATACTAATTACTAGCTTATAAAACATGTTCTCCAACTACTACCCTATTTAATTCTTACAATGGTCTGAAAATAAAACAGTTATAATTACATAGTTTATTTTGCAATGAAGGAAATTGACCTAGTTTAAATAATTGAGTGAGGACTTCAAGTCTACATATTCTGACTCTGAAATCCTTTTGCATTTTATTCTCAGGAATTCAATAAAGTCAGTATTTAAAAGTGTGTACTCTGGAGTCAGAATGCTTTTTAAAATTCTAGCTCTAGCCTTCTCTATTTGTTATTTGAGGCAAGTTTCTTTACCTACAAAAGGAGGATTAAACACAGTGCTGAGGTTAGGGAATTTTGTAAGACTTGAGTTAAAAATGTGAAGAAACTTGATTCCTACCTACCACATAATAAGTGGTTACTACATGTTACTTATTAATAGGTCTTTCTCCCTCCTCATCATTTTCTTCACTATTACATATCTGATACATAATATTTAAGGGTAAATGCAGAAGAAATAAAAGGTTAAAGGCTAAAAATGTTTAAAAATATATAAATAAATTCAAAACATTTTAAGGACACAATTAATAGAAAGGTTGAAAGGTGATCATATTCATTAAAAAGTTATTTATTTATTTGTAGAAATTAGCCCTGACTTCATATTGTAAAGAGATTTTCGAAGGTAGAATTAAATGTTTCAGAGTTGGAGTTGTTATAAGTCACTATCTTTTTTTTTAATATTGTGCTTTAATAATAAAGAAAAAAAAACCCCATACCAGGGAGGAGCCAAGATGGCCGAATAGGAACAGCTCCGGTCTACAGCTCCCAGCGTGAGCAACGCAGAAGACGGGTGATTTCCGCATTTCCATCTGAGGTACCGGGTTCATCTCACTAGGGAGTGGCAGACAGTGGGCGCAGGTCAGTGGGTGCGCTCACCTTGCGCGAGCCGAAGCAGGGCGAGGCATTGCCTCACCTGGGAAGCACAAGGGGTCAGGGAGTACCCTTTCTGAGTCCAAGAAAGGGGTGACGGAAGGCACCTGGAAAATCGGGTCACTCCCACCCGAATACTGCGCTTTTCCAACGGGCTTAAAAAACGATGCACCACGAGGTTATATCCCGCACCTGGCTCGGAGGGTCCTACGCCCACGGAGTCTCCCTGATTGCTAGCACAGCAGTCTGAGATCAAACTGTAAGGCGGCAGCGAGGATGGGGGAGGGGCGCCCGCCATTGCCCAGGCTTGATTAGGTAAACAAAGCAGCCAGGAAGCTGGAACTGGGTGGAGCCCACCACAGCTCAAGGAGGCCTGCCTGCCTCTGTAGGCCCCACCTCTGGGGACAGGGCACAGACAAACAAAAAGACAGCAGTAACCTCTGCAGACTTAAATGTCCCTGTCTGACAGCTTTGAAGAGAGCAGTGGTTCTCCCAGCACACAGCTGGAGATCTGAGAACGGGCAGACTGCCTCCTCAAGTGGGTCCCTGACCCCTGACCCCCGAGCAGCCTAACTGGGAGGCACCCCCCAGCAGGGGCACACTGACACCTCACATGGCAGGGTATTCCAACAGACCTGCAGCTGAGGGTCCTGTCTGTTAGAAGGAAAACTAACAAACAGAAAGGACATCCACACCAAAAACCCATCTGTACATCACCATCATCAAAGACCAAAAGTAGATAAAACCACAAAGATGGGGAAAAAACAGAACAGAAAAACTGTAAACTCTAAAAAGCAGAGTGCCTCTCCTCCTCCAAAGGAACGCAGTTCCTCACCAGCAACGGAACAAAGCTGGATGGAGAATGACTTTGACGAGCTGAGAGAAGAAGGCTTCAGACGATCAAATTACTCTGAGCTACGGGAGGACATTCAAACCAAAGGCAAAGAAGTTGAAAACTTTGAAAAAAATTTAGAAGAATGTATAACTAGAATAACCAATACAGAGAAGTGCTTAAAGGAGCTGATGGAGCTGAAAACCAAGGCTCGAGAACTACGTGAAGAATGCAGAAGCCTCAGGAGCCGATGCAATCAACTGGAAGGAAGGCTATCAGCGATGGAAGATGAAATGAATGAAATGAAGCCAGAAGGGAAGTCTAGAGAAAAAAGAATAAAAAGAAATGAGCAAAGCCTCCAAGAAATATGGGACTATGTTAAAAGACCAAATCTATGTCTGATTGGTGGACCTGAAAGTGATGGGGAGAATGGAACCAAGTTGGAAAACACTCTGCAGGATATTATCCAGGAGAACTTCCCCAATCTAGCAAGGCAGGCCAACGTTCAGATTCAGGAAATACAGAGAATGCCACAAAGATACTCCTCGAGAAGAGCAACTCCAAGACACATAATTGTCAGATTCACCAAAGTTGAAATGAAGGAAAAAATGTTAAGGGCAGCCAGAGAGAAAGGTCGGGTTACCCTCAAAGAGAAGCCCATCAGACTAACAGCAGATCTCTCGGCAGAAACCCTACAAGCCAGAAGAGAGTGGGGGCCAATATTCAACATTCTTAAAGAAAAGAATTTTCAACCCAGAATTTCATATCCAGCCAAACTAAGCTTCATAAGCAAAGGAGAAATAAAATCCTTTACAGACAAGCAAATGCTGAGAGATTTTGTCACCACCAGGCCTGCCTTACAAGAGCTCCTGAAGGAAGCACTAAACATGGAAAGGAACAATCAGTACCAGCTGCTGCAAAATCATGCCAAAATGTAAACACCATCGAGACTAGGAAGAAACTGCATCAACTAACGAGCAAAATAACCAGCTAACATCATAATGACAGGATCAAATTCACACATAACAATATTAACTTTAAATGTAAATGGACTAAATGCTCCAATTAAAAGACTCAGACTGGCAAATTGGATAAAGAGTCAAGACCCATCAGTGTGCTGTATTCAGGAAACCCATCTCACGTGCAGAGACACACATAGGCTCAAAATAAAAGGATGGAGGAAGATCTACCAAGCAAATGGAAAACAAAAAAGGGCAGGGGTTGCAATCCTAGTCTCTGATAAAACAGACTTTAAACCAACAAAGATCAAAAGAGACAAAGAAGGCCATTACATAATGGTAAAGGGATCAATTCAACAAGAAGAGCTAACTATCCTAAATATATATGCACCCAATACAGGAGCACCAAGATTCATAAAGCAAGTCCTGAGTGACCTACAAAGAGACTTAGACTCCCACACATTAATAATGGGAGACTTTAACACCCCACTGTCAACATTAGACAGATCAACGGGACAGAAAGTCAACAAGGATACCCAGGAATTGAACTCAGCTCTGCACCAAGCAGACCTAATAGACATCTACAGAACTCTCCACCCAAAATCAACAGAATATGCATTTTTCTCAGCACCACACCACAGCTATTCCAAAATTGACCACATACTTGGAAGTAAAGCTCTCCTCAGCAAATGTAAAAGAACAGAAATTATAACAAACTATCTATCAGACCACGGTGCAATCAAACTAGAACTCAGGATTAAGAATCTCACTCAAAACCGCTCAGCTACATGGAAACTGAACAACCTGCTCCTGAATGACTACTGGGTACATAACGAAATGAAGGCAGAAATAAAGATGTTCTTTGAAACCAATGAGAACAAAGACACAACATACCAGAATCTCTGGGACGCATTCAAAGCAGTGTGTAGAGGGAAATTTATAGCACTAAATACCCACAAGAGAAAGCAGGAAAGATCCAAAATTGACACCCTAACATCACAATTAAAAGAACTAGAAAAGCAAGAGGAAACACATTCAAAAGCTAGCAGAAGGCAAGAAATAACTAAAATCAGAGCAGAACTGAAGGAAATAGAGACACAAAAAACCCTTCAAAAAATTAATGAATCCAGGAGCTGGTTTTTTGAAAGGATCAACAAAATTGATAGACTGCTAGCAAGACTAATAAAGAAAAAAAGAGAGAAGAATCAAATCGCTGCAATAAAAAATGATAAAGGGGATATCACCACCGATCCCACAGAAATACAAACTACCATCAGGGAATACTACAAACACCTCTACGCAAATAAACTAGAAAATCTAGAAGAAATGGATAAATTCCTGGACACATACACTCTCCCAAGACTAAACCAGGAAGAAGTTGAATCTCTGAATAGACCAATAACAGGATCTGAAATTGTGGCAATAATCAATAGCTTACCAATCAAAAAGAGTCCAGGACCAGATGGATTCACAGCCGAATTCTACCAGAGGTACAAGGAGGAACTGGTACCATTCCTTCTGAAACTATTCCAATAAATAGAAAAAGAGGGAATCCTCCCTAACTCATTTTATGAGACCAGCATCATTCTGATACCAAAGCCAGGCAGAGACACAACAAAAAAAGAGAATTTTAGACCAATATCCTTGATGAACACTGATGCAAAAATCCTCAATAAAATACTGGCAAACAGAATCCAGCAGCACATCAAAAAGCTTATCCACCATATGAACTTTAAAGTAGTTTTTTCCAATTCTGTGAAGAAAGGCATTGGTAGCTTGATGGGGATGGCATTGAATCTGTAAATTACCTTGGGCAGTATGGCCATTTTCACGATATTGATTCTTCCTACCCATGAGCATGGAATGTTCTTCCATTTGTTTGTATCCTCTTTTATTTCCTTGAGCAGCAGTTTGCAGTTCTCCTTGAAGAGGTCCTTCACATCCCTTGTAAGTTGGATTCCTAGGTATTTTATTCTCTTTGAAGCAATTGTGAATGGGAGTTCACTCACCAAAACCAATGGCAACAAAAGACAAAATTGACAAATGGGATCTAATTAAACTAAAGAGCTTCTGCACAGCAAAAGAAACTACCATCAGAGTGAACAGGCAACCTACAAAATGGGAGAAAATGTTCGCAACCTACTCATCTGACAAAGGGCTAATATCCAGAATCTACAATGAACTCAAACAAATTTACAAGAAAAAAACAAACAACCCCATCAAAAAGTGGGCAAAGGACATGAACAGACACCTCTCAAAAGAAGACATTTATGCAGCCAAAAAACACATGAAAAAATGCTCATCATCACTGGCCATCAGAGAAATGCAAATCAAAACCACAATGAGATACCATCTCACACCAGTTAGAATGGCAATCATTAAAAAGTCAGGAAACAACAGGTGCAGGAGAGGGTGTGGAGAAATAGGAACACTTTTACACTGTTGGTGGGACTGTAAACTAGTTCAACCATTGTGGAAGTCAGTGTGGCGATTCCTCAGGCATCTAGAACTGGAAATACCATTTGACCCAGCCATCCCATTACTGGGTATATACCCAAAGGACTATAAATCATGCTGCTATAAAGACACATGCACACGTATGTTTATTGCAGCATTATTCACGATAGCAAAGACTTGGAACCAACCCAAATGTCCAACAATGATAGACTGGATTAAGAAAATGTGGCACATATACACCATGGAATACTATGCAGCCATAAAAAATGATGAGTTCATGTCCTTTGTAGGGACATGGATGAAATTGGAAATCATCATTCTCAGTAAACTATCATAAGAACAAAAAAACCAAACACCGCATATTCTCACTCATAGGTGGGAATTGAACGATGAGATCACATGGACACAGGAAGGGGAATATCACACTCTGGGGACTGTTGTGGGTGGGGGGGAGGGATAGCATTGGGAGATATATAGTTAGTGGGTGCAGCGCTCCAGCATGGCACATGTATACATATGTAACTAACCTGCACAATGTGCACATGTACCCTAAAACTTAAAGTATAATAAAAAATAAAAATAAAAAAATAAAATAAAAAAGAAAATACCAAATTGCATTTTAAAATGCATTTGACCTCCAAAGATTATTTGATTTAAATAAATATGTTCATTAATGCTGGCATTAAAAAAAAAAAAATCCCATACCACTAAAGTATTTTAAAACAACCTATTAAAAAATCGTAAAATCAAATTTTGTTGCTATGTTTTAAATTTTAATTATTCATTTGTTATTAAGATTATATTGCATTTAATCATTCAGAGAAGACTATTTCAATGTATAGTCAATTATTTATATTTAATATATATTAAATATAAAGAATTTGGTGCTGTCCTGATGGCTTCCATTACATACTATAACATTTCATTATTAAATATTATATATATATGTTGGTAATCATAACTTTTTTTTATTAAAGTTCTAGGGTACATGTGCACAATGTGCACGTTTGTTACATAGGTATACATGTGCCATGTTAGTTTGCTGCACCCATCAACTCATCATTTACATTAGGTATTTCTCCTAGTGCTATCCCTCCCCCAGCCCCCACCCCAAAACAGGCCCTGGTGTGTGATGTTCCCAGCCCTGTGTTCATGTGTTCTCATTGTTCAACTCCCACCTATGAGTGAGAACATGTGGTGTTTGGTTTCTGTCCTTGTGATAGTTTCCTTAGAATGCTGGTTTCCAGCTTCATTCATGTCCCTGCAAAGGACATGAACTCATTCTTTTTTATGTCTGCACAGTATTTTACAGTGTATATGTGCCACATTTTCTTAATCCAATCTATCATTCATGGACATTTGTGTTGTTTCCAAATCTTTGCTATTGTGAACAGTTCTCCAATAAACATACATGTGCATGTGTCTTTATAGTAGCATGATTTATAATCCTTTGGGTATATACCCAGTAATGGGATTGCTGGGTCAAATGGTATTTCTAGTTCTAGATCCTTGAGGAATTGCCACACTGTCTTCCAAAATGGTTCAACTAGTTTACAGTCCCAACAGTGTAAAAGCATTCCTATTTCTCCACATCCTCTCCAGCATCTGTTGTTTCCTGACTTTTTAATGATCGGCATTCTAACTGGTGTGAGATGGTATCTGATTATGATTTTGATTTGTGTTTCTCTGATGACCAGTGATGATGAGCATTTTTTCATATGTCTGTTGGCTACAAAAATGTCTTCTTTGAGAAGTGTCTGTTCATATCCTTTGCCCACTTTTTGATGGGTTTTTTTTTTCCTTGTAAATTTGTTTAAGTTCTTTGTAGATTCTGGATATTAGCCCTTTATAAGATGGGTAGATTGGAAAATTTTTCTCCTATTCTGTAGGTTGCCTGTTCACTCTGATGGTAGTTTCTTTTGCTATGCAGAAGCTCTTTAGTTTAATTAGATCCTATTTGTCTATTTTGGCTTTTGTTGCCATTGCTTTTGGTGTTTTAGTCATGAAGTCTTTGCCCATGCCTATGTCCTGAATGGTATTGCGTAGGTTTTCTTCTAGGATTTTTATGGTGTTAGGTCTTACATTTAAGTCTTTAATCTATCTTGAGTTAATGTTTGTATATGGTGTAAAGAAGGGATCCAGTTTCAGCTTTCTACGTATGGCTAGCCAGTTTTCCCAGCACCATTGATTAAATAGGGAATCCTTTCCCCATTGCTTGTTTTGTCGGGTTTGTCAAAGATCGGATGGTTGCAGATATGTGGTATTATTTCTGAGGCCTCTGTTCTGTTCCGTTGTTCTATGTAACTGTTTTGGTGCCAGTACCATGCTGTTTTGATTACTGTACCCTTGGAGTATAGTTTGAAGTCAGGTAGTGTGATGCCTCCAGCTTTGTTCTTTTTGCTTAGGATTGTCTTGGCTATGTGGGCTCTTTTTTGGTTCCATATGAACTTTAAAGTATTTTTTTCCAATTCTGTGAAGAAAGTCCTTGGCAGCTTGATGAGGATGGCATTGAATCTATAAATTACCTTGGGCAGTACGGCCATTTTCATGGTATTGATTCTTTCTATCCATGAGTGCGGAATGTTCTTCCATTTGTTTGAGCCCTCTTTTATTTTGTTGAGCAGTGGTTTGTAGTTCTCCTTGAAGAGGTCCTTCACCTCCCTTGTAAACTGGATTCCTAGGTATTTTATTCTCTTTGTAGTAACTGTGAATGGGAGTTCACTCATGATTTGTCTCTCTATTATTTGTGTATAGGAATGCTTGTGATTTTTGCACATTGATTTTGCATTCTGAGACTTTGCTGAAGTTGCTTATCAGCTTAAGGAGATTTTGGGCTGAGACATTGGGATTTTCTAAATATACAATCATGTCATCCTCAAACAGAGACAATTTGCCTTCTTCTTTTCCTAATTGAATACCCTTTATTTCTTTCTCTTGCCTGATTGCCCTAGCCAGAACTTCCAATCGTAACCTATTATTTTCCTAGATTCCAGAATAACTCAAACTAAATAAATGAGAAATATATTTCAAGAAAACTATTTTGTTTATGAAACTAAGAATAGTAATGACTTGAATTAGAGACTCAAATATGATCAGACTATTCACTCTACCTGTCGTTTATGCTCCTTTCTGTGCATCTATTTCTCTCCTTTTTCTTTCTCTGAACAGCAGAATTCTCCAATTTTCATGATATTTGCAGATAAAATGTAGCTTCTCTTAGAATCCAAAGTTTAAGCCTCACAGCTTCATCCACCAGCAATAGAGAGCTTGTCTTCTGTATACCAAATTCAAAAGTTTCGGGGAAAGAACTCATTAGCTCATCTTGGGTTTTATGCCCAATTCTGAATGAATCAATTTATCCAGGAAATAGATGTATTGTAGGAATATGATAGTTTCCATTGGACTGCTTGCAATAAAAAGCAATATTATACAATCCAATGTTTTGTAATATTTTAATTTTAAATCCTCAGATATCCACCTGACTTACTGATAACCATTAATGACTAAATTAGTTCTAAATTAACATTACTTTTTAATTTTTAAATAATTTCTTGCTTCAATATAAAAACTTTGATAAGCTTCAAAAAAGGATGATTTACCATTAGTTTTCCTTTTCTTCTATTTATAAGAGGAAAAAGGAACTAAAAACCATATGAATGACATAATTTTATTTAATTAACATAAAGAAATGAGAACAATTGTTTTATATATCTTAATAAATTGGATTGAAAAAATATTCCCTTCCATGAGCACAAATAGCTTCTACAGTGGGAGAAAAGATACAGAAATTGAGTAAAGCTACATATGCTGGTATCCTGTATTAAATGTCTGATATACAATGGCAATAAAAGTCTCACATTGTGTTACTGAAAAAGGAAAGGTAATTTTGGAGAGTAGATATTCTATACCTTTTAAGCCCACTGATAGCCATCTATGAATAGCATAGATAGCAATCTATGAATTTGCCTGCGTTTTAAAGCCAGCTTTTGGTCAATTCATGAACATTTGGGAAGAAGTTGTGGAGCTGGAGGTTGGTCATAGAAATTATCTAGAGATAACCAGTGACATTAGTATTTGTATTTTAAGGAACTAGAACAAATAAATGAGTGAAAGACATCTTGATCTTTAAAGATTCTCAACTTCTAAAGTCCCAATACTCTAATAATGCTTACTTGAACAGTGTCTTGGTCCGTGAGCAAGTGGAGAATAATATGCTTTGGAATAGATAGATTATGTATCAATGCATGTCATTATTTTTATTCGTCTGTGGATATTAAATTGTGATAAGGCACAAATGAATTATACATTAGAAGAATTAGTATGCAAACATTGATTTTGTGCTTAGGGACATTCTATACACTGAGCATCTTAGAAAACTTTATGCTACGTGGACTATTTTATAAAAGAAATTACCCTCAGGGATTGACTAAAAATCTGGTTATGATTATAAGCCATTATATGTCAATACAATGTAAAATAAAAGTAACATGCTATAATTTTCAAATTATGGCCTAAAGATGGCCAAATATAGCATACATTTCAAAAATCAATATGGTGTATATTTCAATCAACTGGCTTCAATATTAAGTAATATAGTTATCCAAGGAAGGACAATCACAATATGCAGATTAGTTTAAAGAGGGTGAATTGAATAGCGAAGGTTTGATATGGCAGAGAGCCAAAGAAGCCCTGGGACCTAGCTGGAGAGAATAGTTTAAAGGTGGAGCATCAAAATCATTTTTTTACAAACCAATTTCTCTACTGTTAATAACATTCCTACTTAATAAAATCATATTTATTATGCATGATAGGGACTTGTTTCTCTATTTCACTTATTTAAATTATAAATTTTATCCACTATTTTTACAGTTTTGTAAAACAGGATGATTTCCCACTGAAACTAGAAAATTATTCCTCAGCTCTCAATCCCCTCAAAAGCCTAATAATTAATTCATCTAAATATGAAGAATTTTTAAGTAGTCACAAAAATATCTGAGGTCTAACCTTTGATATAATTGATGACACAAATTGATATAATTGATAATGCAAATTGCATTATCAAAAATATTCTTGTAATATAAGTAAAAGAAAACAAGAGCTCTCTGCAAATAACTTTTTTGTATTATTAATAACTGTGTTTGCCATCAGCAGATGATAATAAAAATACACTTTGGAACTGATAAATTTACTATACTCTGTCTCATACTGTGGGTTATGTACAATTAATATGATCTAGTCACCTAAAAATCACTAAAGTACAATGTATTAAGTACTAGAAAAAAGGTAAAAATAATAAAATGTATTTTATCAGGAGGATTATGACAGAGATTCCAGTAACTGGAAGCAGCATGAACATAGATAGGGAACTATGAGAAATTAAAGCATTTTCAGGAAGGAAAGATTATTCAAGATAACAGATAGAATATGTATAAATTCAGGTGACCAGAAATACACCTAAATTCGGGGGAAAGAAACTGTGTGTGAACATGTTTGTACAACACAGTTGTCTAAGAAGTTTGTAATTACTTTGCCAGGCAACAGACAAATGTTGAAAAGTTTTATCAAAAATATTATTTTTGACTTGTTGCTGTACAGAATACATAGAGTACATAGAGTATACTGATGTCAGTTTTAGGTTGAATTTGAAGAAGGTGAGAATCCAGATATGCTAACTGGTTAAAAGGATTAATTTTATAGTTTAGACAAGAGGTGATGAACCTTAGAGGGAAGGGAAGGTTTAGGTTTACTAAGGGAAGTGTATAGAGAGGTTAAGAATGTTTACCTCTAGCTTTCAGTGTTAGATAGTTGTGTTGTATATTTTTAAAATTAATACAAGTTTATTAAACAAATTTTGAGAAAGAGATATTTAATAGTACATTATGCATGTTGAAATCTGTTTTAGGCATGTAGAAAAAAAGTTTTGGCAGGATATCCTGCAGCAATACAGCAGAAATGTATTTCTGCAGACCAAGCAGATATCAGGTCTAAAGATGTAGAGTTAGTATTCATTAGCGTATTGGTAAGAGCTCAGAAATGAAGCATGGATATGAATAAAAAATGAATTTATGAAAATCTTGAAGTGAAGAAGGATGAATATATAACCTTTGAGCAAGAGCATTTAAGTAGAAAATGGAGAAAAATACCAAAAAGATAGATGATAATAAAAGAAGAAATGAAGGAAAATGGTTATTCAACATTTTGATCTATTTTGCCATAATCTTCCCCGACTCTGAGCAGTAAAGTTTTCTTCATCTTCATTTTATTCAGGGAGCTAGGATATTTTTTATGTTTCTGCTTATGTCTAGTATTCTGTGTTAAATGTGGAGCCTATATTTTAATAAGTCCAATTCTGATGAACAAGCCAGAAATTAATTAGTGCAAAAATGATCTGAAGTATTAGATTTCCATTTAAATTTCTTGTTGAATGGTTTCAACATGTGTTCTATCTGAATCTGGATTCTATTTGTTGTTTTGGCTCTTGGCATTGTATTGCTTTTTCACAATTTCTTGTTGAATTAGTCATCATGTATAGACTGCTAGAGACAGGTATTACGCATGCCTGGAAATGAGTAAATCTTTTCTGCCACTAGGCCCGTATTGGCTGATAACAATCTCTTCTGAAGTTGCAGTGACTTTGGCTTTGCTGTTGCTGTGTTCCGTTTAGTACACCACAGGTTTCAGATTCCTGTAGTCAAATCTTGTGTTAGGGGTGGAGGCTGGTTGACCAGAGGATTTTTCTTAATTTCTGCTCCAACATATGATGATGGTCTCCCTCTGTTTACTTATTTGTGTAGCTCTTTAACACTTCATAGAGTATTTACACATTAATTATTGTTCCCTGCTTGTTAGCCTGGTATGGGTAGGAGTGCACGAAAGGGCCGTTGTTCTGGATAAGCCTCAGTCAGGCAGGCACTGTATGCTGGGTCTTGGAGGTGAGTCCTTTTCCTTGTTACTGTTCTACCACAGCTATAGTTCTGGGTTCAGCACATATTCCTGGCTTTTTAATTTTATGTTCATTTCCCACAGCTGCATTTATTGTTCATTACTTCCATAGGGTGAAAGCATATGCAGGTCTATATTTCTCCTTCACATTTTGTGATAAATCTACCATAGGCACACAATCCTAAAGTCAAAATCAGTAATTATTTTCATAGCTAGTCAATTAAATTAAAATAAAATATTTGGAAAATTTTTCTATAGGAATTATTTTAGTTATCTGAAGTACAATAAATATGTAGATAAATACATAGATAACTTGGAATTATGTAGGTTCATCAGTTTATATGTATATGTTACATGTGTAAATAATGGAAACAACATTTTTTTTTAGTTCATTGCTTCCACATGCAAATCCAGGTTTTCCATCTTCCTTTAATGACCATGAGTAGCATTTCTGAGACTCTCAGGAGTCACCTGTGCTTACAAACAAGTCTGCTTCCATCTACCCCTCTATATTCTCCAGAGCATATTCCTAGTACAAGATTCTGTTGAAAACGTGCAGACTTCTCTCAAGTTGTGTGATCTCTTCAGTGTCTGGATACTGCTTTTCTGGCACCCTCAGAGAAGAAAGCTGTTTCCCTGCTGAGGGAGAGTTGAGAGTTACCTAACATGCAAAACCTTGGAAGTGCTAAGCCCCACTCATTTCCATTCAGTTTCTACTTCAACTGGGCCATGCTATAATCTAAACCAAAACAGAAAAAAAAAAAAAAACCAAAAAACTCAAATACGTGCCTCACATTTAGACCAAAAAAGTACCATTGTTTATACCTTATCTGCCAAATATGCCCTACAGATTTTCTAGGATAAAACAGAGCTATTTTCTTAGGCTTAACTAGTCTGAGCTCATTAATTAAGGGGCTAGATTTAGTTAGGCATCGCATTTCATGCTGTTCTATTTTTATTTCTCTCATATTCTTGCTTTCATGTCTTTCTTCACAAAACTTACGTGTTTTCATAAAACCTAAAAGTTCCTGGTCCTGAGCCTTCTAGATCTTAGGAGAGATTCAAATAAGACTCTACTGCATGTGAAAAAACTAGCCCTAGTAATTAATTTTATTACAAGACAGGTAAGAAAATATTAAGTAATTAGTATTTGCTTAGAAAATTTGTTTACCTAAATAATGTGTCATTCTTTGTTCAGAATTCCTATCTTCACAAGAAATAATTACTAAGGGATTTTACTATGATATTGTATCAATTTCAAAGTGTACATTTTCTACAATATAACAAGTCTCAATCAATAGGTATCATAAGTTGACGGTCCACTATAATTTATTCCAATGCGTTTTTTTCTTAGTGATATATAAAACAATAGTCCATCTTACAATCAGTGGCAATTTAGATTTGAAAAATTATAAAATTGCTTCATCAAGTGGTTTTTATGACTGTCAAGTACAGTTGTTATGAAGAAAATATAGGAAAACAAAAATAGACTTTGATATGTGATGAAAAATCAGTTATTATCATTAGAAACACAAAGATTATTTTAAAACTCTTAAATATTGCTAAGTCTTGGGAACAAAGATGTTAAAAGCATAACGGTTATACAAGAATTACAGCAGGCAAGATTTAAATATACTATCGCCTAGATCAATACATTAATAAGTTACTTTGGATAAGGGAAAAATACAAATGTTTTCTAGAATAAAAGATATTAATGATGTAGTTTTCTTTTTCTTTATTATCTTTGATGCTACCATGTTATAACTATGATTTTTTATGACACATTACAGAGGCTAGGAAAGTCAGCAGGTTATTGCAAATATTACAGAAACAGGAATCTTTATCAATTATCCTACAATTCTTCTGTAACTATAAAAATAATGTATTTAACAATTAAATATTTTTTTAGGCTGGGTACGGTGGCTCACGTCTGTAATCCCAGCACTTTGGGAGGTTGAGACGGGTGGATCACGAGGTCAGGAGTTCAAGATCAGCCTGGCCAAGATGGTGAAACCCTGTCTCTACTAAAAATACAAAAATTAGCAGGGCGTGGTGGCGGGTGCCTGTAATCCCAGCTACTTGGGAGGCTGAAGCAAAGAATTGCTTGAACCTGGGAGGCAGAGGTTGCAGTGAGCCAAGATTGCGCCACTGCACTCCATCCTGGGAGACAGAGCAAGACTCCATCTCAAAGAAAATAATAATAATAATAATAATTTTTATTGGATGTCTACTATGTACGATCTTAATTTGTGTCAGCAGCAACAGATGGTGAAAAGGATAATATAAATTTAATTATTGAATTGTACTATATGAAGATAAACTATTCAAGGTACAGGAAAAGATAGTGATGGAAGTGTGCCATTTTAGATAGTATGATTAGAAAATATTTCACTGAAGAAATGCCTTTGGATAATAGAATTATTTAGTAGAGTGAGTTAGATATGTAGATATATGAAAGAAGAGCATTCTAGAAAGAAGAAATAATATGTGTAAAGTCCTGTGGTGGTGTAAGTTATAGGATCAGCAAAGAATTTTGTGTGATTAGAGAGTTGTGAGCCAGGAAGAAATTTACCAGAGGTCAGTTGATGTGGAGCCTATATATGTCAAATTAAATACCTTGGATTATATCCTACTTGTAATAAAAATTAATGGAGGTTTTGTGCAAGCAAAGTGGACCTATATATATATATATATGTATATATATACACATATATATATACATATATATATACACACACATACATATATATATTTAAATTCATCTAAGCTGCTATATGGAATATTTACTGTAGGGGTTCAAGGGTGCAAACAACAGGGTCATTTAGAAAGCCACTAGGGTAGACCAGAAGGCATATAATCATGGATTGTGCTAGAATGATTAAGATATTGGTAACAATGATTAAATTTGAGATGTTTGTGCTATATTGGGTAGAATAACTTGCAGATGTATTAGGTTTAGGGTGTAAGAATAAAAAAATGGGCTAAGTCTATGTCCTAAACAACTGTGAAAATGGCATTGTTGCTTACTGAGTTGGAAAACTTGAGGGAGGAGTAGCATTGATGTAGGTAAGAAGGAACGAAATTGGGGTTTTACATATTGTAAAGGTTAACATTAGATGCCAACTTGACTGGATGGAGGGATGCCTAAAAGGCTGGTAAAGTATTGTTTCTGGGTGTGCCTGTAAGGGTGTTGCCAGAGGAGACTGACATCTGAGTCAATGAATAGGGCAAGAAAGACCCACCCTCAATGTGGGTGGGCACCATCCAATCTGCTGCCAGCATGGATAGAAGGAAGCAGTTGGGAGAAGGGGGATAAGGAGCTTGGTGAGTCCTCTTGATCTCTCTCTTCCTGTTTTGGACACTTGCTTCCCCTCCTCCTGACCTTGGACATCAAACTCCAGGTTCTTCAGCCTTTGGACTCTGGGACATTAACCAGCAGCCTCCCAGGGGCTCTGAGGCCTTAGGACTCAGACTGAGGGCTACACTGTCAGCTTCTCTGGTTTCGAGGCTTTCAGACTTGGACTGAGCCATGCTACTGGCTTCTCTCTTTCACAAGCTTGCAGATGGCCTACTGCAGGCCTTTGCATTGTAATCATGTGAGCCAGCTCTCTCTAATAAACTCCCTTTTACATATACATATATCCTGTTGGTTCTGTCCCTCTGGAGAACCCTGACTAATACACATATTAAGTTTGAGTCATCTAATAAATATTCAAGTGGCAATGTCGAGGAAATAGTTGGATAACTAAAACTAGATTTCAAAGCCAAAGTTGAGGTTAGAAATTAAATTTGGGAATAGTAAATACACAGATGCTATTTAAAGTCATTGGGCTAGATGATATCATTCAGAAATTATTTAGATGCCTGCTACAGCTCCAGTAGTGAAGTTTGAGCAACATGGAAAAGGACTAGAAAGCTAATCTGAGAAGGAGCTCTTAGACCAGATCCAAAAAAGCCAATGTAGAATTGATAATTGGTGATAATGATGACTCCGATTTGTTTTATTGGTGATTTCACTTCAATTTATTTCTACACCAATGAACAATAGGACAGAGGAAATACAAAATAAGATGTAAATAAATGGATGCAGAAGCTCACCAATGTCTCTAAAATTTTTTGTAATGGAACAAGTGTATTCCAACAGGCAGGACACACTCTCCAGGAAATGAGAAACTTCCCGGGATGAAGGAGTAAGGGAGCCAGGAATGCTGCATTTTATAACATTAGAAGGGGAGCAGAGTCATGTTAGTGCTCAAGGATGTAACTAATTACAAGAAAGGGAGTTACTCAGAGCTGTACATTTATCAATTTTTATATTTCTTCCTTTTTTTTTTTTTTTTTTTTTCTGAGACGCTGTCTCACTGTCTTGCTCTCTCACCATCTTGCTCTCTAGCCCAGGCTGGAGTGCAATGGCAACGTCTCCGCTCACTGGAACCTCCACCTCCTTGAATTCAAGCAATTCTCTTGCCTAAGCCTCCCAAGTAGCTGGACTACAGATGCGTGCCACCACGCCCGGCTAATTTTTGTATTTACTTTTAGTAGAGAGGCAGTTTCACCATGTTGGCCAGGCAGGTCTCAAACTCCTGACCTAAAGTGATCCGCCCCCCTCTGGCTCCCAGACTGTTGGGATTACAAACGTGAGCAACGGCGCGCAGACCTCTGTCACCTTTTTAACACTAAGCTATTGGATTTTTTTGTCAAGGCATGCCATTAGAGGCTGCCACAAAACAATAAAAGATAAAATTCAAAAATAAATGTTGTCCCAGAAGCCTAGTAAGAATAATGTATTTATTTTTTAAACGTTAAGGTTCAATTTCTCAAGGAAAATGAGGTCATACAACTAACTATCTGAGTTGGCAAAATGGAGAGAAAAACTGAGGATCTTCTGAACTCACAATACTTTTATCACTTAATGGAAAACTCTTCATTATTAAGACGCTAACATTAAGCCCAAATCACACATGTTGCATGCATGCAAAAGTGTTTTCACACATACACACACAAACAAACACAATTTTAAACTCTGGTATAATGTTAATGCACTTCCAAAAAAAACAAACAAAAAAAAACCCTGGTAGAAAATGGCACAAATAAAGTAATTTAGATACAGTTAAAATGTCCACAATTACTGAAAATATGTAATTATGTATTTAAATAATCATTTTGAGGTAAATTTTAGCCATTCGTTGTGAAACATAAAATTAATAATCATAAAGAATGATTTTAAAGAAAACGTAAGATTATTGAGAATAAAGTTGTAAGTCTAAATAACTTTCACTTGGAGGATGAGAAACACATTTTAAGTGTTAAGGTATAAATAGTAAATAGAATATTATATAATTAGTTTGAACTAATATAAAAATAACATAAATTTCTCTGTAAAACTGGTCCTAACAATACATTGATCAACCTATAACTGAGCCATTAATTATGATACATTTCTGGTATAATAAAACAGCCATTTTAATTGCCCATTTCTAATCTGCTTTAATAAGTCAAACAAATATTTTAAACAATCTTAAGTAACATGATGAAACTGAACTCAACAAAAGTTAATTACAAAAATAATGTGGTAAAATTAATGTGATAAAATTGTGCCTGCATTACACTAGAAAATGTTCAAAGGATATATATAGTTTTCTAGTAACAAAGCATTGTGGCCTTTTCAAATTCCAGTGGGCTTTGAAGACATACAAATGAAGTCTTATAAGAGCCAAATATATGATAAATATCTAAGATGTCCTTTAAATTATAGTAAGCAGTTACACAGAATCTCTTACGCTTGTGTACAAATTTGATCTCAAATTTGTAAGATCTCTTAAAAACGCCAAAAAAAAAAAATGGGTAGGCATGTTTTTTTGTTTTTTCCCTGATGTGTCTTAATTGCTAGACCAGTTCCTGGCACTTAATAGTAGTGCTTGACAAATGAATGTGGAATAAGAAAATCAATGTCACCAACACCCAATAAATACAATTAAATTTGAATTTTATACACTCTAATAATGCTTAATGATTTATTTGAGTATCTTTTAAATACTTTGTTGGTTTGACTGTTTAAAGCATTAGGTTAACTGATAATAAATATATTTCAAGGAATATTGATCCAAAAGCTTAAATATGCTCGTTTTGTTGCCTCAAAGTTTTTGAAGGTTTATTACTTGATGAAGAAGGTCCAACAATCAAATAAACTGTCCCAAAAATGAAGTAATGAAACCTTGGAAAAAACAACCTTTAGTGAAACATTTTAAAATTAGTCACAGATACATATGAAGTGACATATCACTGTAAAAATATGACATATATTTTGCTTTGAGTTTATGTTGAAGAGTCAATATTAGTTGATACTGAAGAAACCAATCTATGAAAAGAAAGAAACTGGGGAAAATATTCATTTGTGTCTTGTTTATATATTTACTACAGTTTAAAATGTTTGCTGTGTGAGTCAGATAGAACTTCTATAACATTAGTTTATAGAGCATTCTCCAGTGACACTCAGTTTAACATTAATTTCTAAAGAAATAATTGCAACTTATATTGGAAATAAAATTAAGAACTGTGTTATTAAGATTCTATCCTATGTCATACAAAATACATTTGAGATTGATTTCATTTTGAAAATGTTTTAATATATTAAATATGTATTTGAAATGTCAATGTAAACAATTATATTTATATTATTAATTATATATTATGTTTATATTACATATTGATATTTTAAAATGTATTTGCTATTTTATCCTTAGTAATTATTTTGTGCTTTTATTTTACTTTATTTTTAAATATATAGCATTGCATAATAAACACAAAATTAGTGTCATAGATACCTCAAAGAATCTCTTCCCAAAATCCACAATCCTAACACAATTTGAGAACTCAGAAAAAAAAAAAAAAGTGTTGGTGATCTTCATTGTTCCTCAATGCATTTCTGTTACTTTCTTCACCTGACTAATTCTCATTAAAAATGAAAATCCCGACAGAAAAGTAAATGTTATGGCTGTGCTGGCAACTTCTACTTTATGGTCCAATGTTTTTTACAGGTTATAGTTCTTTATTCATATAATTTTTACATTCAAATTTTGTTGGAAGCAGTACAAAACTTGTTTTCTAGCTCAAGTTAAATTAAAATTTAGGCACACTGGCTATTTACCTCACACATGAATATACTTAGGAAATAAAAAACAGTTTTTAGAAATATTAATTATATTAATATGATACAGCAATAACTATATTAATTATATCAATACATATATTATACCAAAATATATAAAATATATTCTAACAAGAAATAAAAATGCTAACTCTAAAAATTTTCACTTTGATATTACAATAGAAGCATTTAATATATTAAATGTTTTCCCCTGATGAATCTACCTGGCTCCAGTATTGATGACCCTCCCTCTTTTTTACTTATTCATCCTCTACGTAGTTGTCAGGTAGATTTGCGGATTTAAGAGATTTGTAGATTTCTTTTTCAGATAGTCTTCAATGTCACTGTTTGCATCCCTTTCAAATTCATTAGCATGAGATTTATGGTCCATTATTTATTCTAATCTCTCAAGTTATTTTCTGCTTTAATCCTATGTACATTCTTCTCCAATACCATTTTAACATACTTAGAGTTTTCCATAACTTACCACCTTGAATCTCCATCATCTTAACAATGCCATTGCTCTACATAAATATAATATTTTCTTCATTTAGATAGAAGTTAATGGCTTTTTTCCCTTCGATTGAGGTCTAGTATCACCTTTTCCAGAAAACATGATTTCATTTCTCAAGATGGCATAATGTACTGATTTTTCTATTTGCCTATAAATTCCTATAATTTTATACATATTATTACCTTTATCTTATTTACAGTATGACAATTTTTTTTTCTGCTTCCCTTATACGTAGTATATTGCTCTACCAATAGTTCTTGAAATATTTGCTGCTGTTAAACAGAAGAACCCATCAAAGAAAAATATCTCTAGGGCAAGTAAGATCTGCAACAGAAAAAATAAATGGGACTTGGATAAAAACAGACTTTGGATGAAAAAAACATAAATCTAAATTTTTAAAAAATTAACAATAACATCAACAATTATCTAATTATTGCCCAATGTAAAATTCAGAAAATTGACACACTTTTCCAAATAAACCCTGAAATGCAGTTGTGAACACTGGGTCACTGTAATGAAATAATATGTGCATCTTTTCTATGATTAATTTCTCTCCTTTCAGAGATGCTCTAATGTATTTTCTGCTGAAGTAAATAAAACACTTTACTTTTAATTATGCCCCATGAGAGAGAACATCTCTTCTAATTAAGTTTACAAAACTAGGTAATCTTATTTATCTAGGAGGTATAGCAACTATGCATATAGCTTAACTGTAGAAGCATAATCAAAGCTTTTAATTTTATCAAGTGATGTTAAATTTGGAATACAAATGTATGTGTTAACTGGAAGGTGGATGAAGATAAAATTTTAATATTAACATAATACTAAGAAATACCTATATGTATTTTAAATACCTTTTCAAAAGTTAAGTGTTTGCAGTTGTGATCATTTAATTATGAGTGTGTTGGCTTCCTTACACAAATCATGAATACTCTTCCAGAAAACAAGCCAATTCCAGGGACGTGTGAATTCCCACAAGTCCTAGAGTGCAATTAACTCTACTTCTAACCACGCTGTAACACCTGCAGACAATGAAGAAATCTGTTACAAGAACTATTTCCATAGCATGAATATGCAAGCACCAGAATTAACGTAATTCATTCAGCTGCAGATTATCTAGGCTCCAGCCACAATACATTTTATTGCCATGTGTCAGTTCACTGACAGCTTCATAAATCCTGCTCAATAAACATTAAGTGTTTACATTCATTGTCTAGCAAATAGAGAAGCCTAGAGAAAGTTTTCTAGGATAGAGCAATGTAGTTTTGCATTCATACAATTAGAACTATTCTTATCTAAAGCTCTAGGCACTATGTCGGTATATATTTTCAACATTTGACGGGTATTATCTGGAACAACAAACTTCTGGCTGGATATAAACTGATCTTGCAGACAGAAAAGAAGCGTTATTTATTTTTATGTCATGTATTTTTATTTTTGCTTTTCTCCTTAAATATTAGTTTGACCTCTGGATTGCAATGCAATGCACATGTTGTAATAAATAAAAGGGGCTTGGATAAAAGTGAAAATAGGGAAAATGAGATGAAGCGTTAAAGTATTTGACTTAAAGATTAGCTATCCATGGTTCAATTTTTAGCTCAGGTTGTTAAAATTATGTTTCCGTGAGAATTGCTACCCTTTTTCCTGTGATTTGATTGAGTGACTATTTTAAATAGACATATTGAAAATAGGTGAGAATGATTTTTTTCACGAATACTTCAAAATTAAATATATCTAATTTTCCTGCATTCATTCTTTACAAGATGAGACGTGAATCTAGACACTACAGGTTTTGTGAGGCAACCACACAAACCCTGGCTGTCTCGTAAATTTATAGTTCTTGGTTTCTTGCAGGGCTCAGTCTGCATGTATGGGAACGATTATTGAGGCTTTTTCTCCTTTTTCTTTCAGACTTCAGTTTGCATATTACACAATATTTCTAGCATTTTGTTCACCCAGCAGGCAACCCTGTTTGTGAGTATATGGAGGATAATTTAAATTTTATGTGTCTATTTGACTCTCAGGGAAAGTCCGTAAGTTGCAAAACTGAAGGTGGATGGGAAAATAAACTTCTCAGCTGGTACCCTGCCCCCCGCATCAACTACACTGTCTCTCTTCAGACACATTTTTCAAGATAAAGCAGCACTCTCCTGAGTCATGGGTTCTCTTACTTTTAGAGGAGGTACAATCAGAATCTCTCTAACTTAGGAGAAACTACTGTGAAAAGTGATTGCATTAGCGGGAAGAGGAATATGTCTCCCTTTCTGTAATGGTGCTTACTGCTTTATGCTCAGAGGTGATTCTTCTTCCTTCCTTTTATGTGCAATCTGGGGCAACCAGGGTGGAAGAAAAGAGCTTTCAGAAGTGGATGTGAAATTTTTAATGCTAGTTCTGCTGAAATGGCCCTTATTTGAATTTGCATAATTGATAATGTCAGGCAATTAACACAATTAACTTAAATTGTTAACCTAATAGACTCTAGTGGTCTCCTCTTAACAACAAACTTTGAAAGCTCCCACTCTACTCAGTAACTCATATTAATACAAGTCTGCTAATAAATGATTTGGTTTCAAATTAACAGTTTTAAAATTTACACCGTACTTATTTAAGACCACACACAAAATAAAAAGATAATAGTATTAGAGCAATATGATATCAAAACATTATGGAATGCTATATTATATTTACTCTTTCAATTTTTAAATAGGCAAATTTAAAAATGGCAATTCTTAGAAATAAAATAAATTTTAATATTTATTGTAAAAGTAACTCAAAAACAGGTTTATGGATAGAGAGTTCATAAAAGGAAGAGAAATACGCAATAAGTCCATGAAAAGTTATTTACCCTCACTAAAAATTAAGCACATGAAATCTAAAGCAAAAACGTGATGAATTGTTTTGCTTATCAGATCAAAAAGGGGAAAATAATTTATTATAAGACATGAGAGTATAAGTAATGACATTGTAAATTGACACATACATTTTAGAGGGCAATTTTAAAATGTCTGTGAAAATATAAAATGCATATATGTCTTGACTCACCATTTCTGTTCCTAAAAGTATATCGTAAAACATTTGCAAACTATATATAGTTACAAAAGATTTTTTATTGTTAATTTGACTACGAAGGGAAAACAATAGAAACAAAAGACTAACCATATAAGACTAGTTATATAATAATGCATCCATACATATGCTTGTGTACATACCAAACATTTAGAAATATTATACAAGTGTGTCGTGTTTATTTTTGAAAATCGTATTTGAAGGAAAGGGCTTTTTATTCTTTTCTAGAAATATTTGCTTCAAAAATATTAATTTTAACTTTTAAAATTATAATTAAAGAATCTTTCATATTCTCCATAGATTTTAAAATACATATATGTATGTTTACATGACAATACAGTGAAGAGATAAATGGCTGAAATAAAGAGCTATGTGGCTGAAAAGCATACAGAAATAAAAGTAAAAGGTTTAAGGTTTTCCCTATAAAAGAAGAGCTAAAAGTAATAATACAGCTATCAAGTTTGGGAAAGGGAAATAGCAAGAAGATTAAGATAAGTGCACTAAATTCTCATTTTTTTTATTATAGAGTCAATAGATATTGTCCAGAGACATTAGACTTTAGAGTTCTAGGGATTAGAGTTTTAGAGTTTAAACATCAGAAGAAATAAAACTAGAAATATATGAAGGTGATTGCCTTGGGAGAATAACCTTGGAGGTGAGGAGGTGTGCAGCAGAAGCCTGTTTCTTTGGATCACAAGCTTTTGAGTACGTATTACTTTGATACTATTTTTAATAAAAATAAAAAATTGCCTGATGGTACTGAGATGCCTGTCTTGAGTCCTTCCTTTCTAAAATTTAGTTATTTCCTCTTCTACTTCTATGTATTTTCCATATTTATTAGAGTACCAGTTATCGTCTTAGAATCATTTGCTTGTATTTCTCAATGCAAAACAAAGAATAGGTTTCATATCTGCATATATATGTAGATTATTAGATAAGTATTGAGATGAAATTTCAAGAAAAATAAAAATAGAAACTTCAGTTTTCCACTGAAAGACAGAATAAAAAAATACATTTTATTTACAAGCCACTTTTTAAACGTTTAAATTTATTGCCTTTTAAATTTGCCCATTTAAAATTTAATTAAAAGGACAAATACAATATAGCCTTATCTAATGTTTGGTATCATATTGTTCTTATATTATTCTTTATCTTTTTATTTCATATAAGTTCTTCAAATAAGTACCATGTAAATTTTAAAACTGTCAATTTTAAACCAAATTATTTTTCTGAAAGCACGTAGTAGCTTTATAAAGGGAAAGGATAAATATATGGTTTTCCAGTCTAGTTTGTTCTTTAATCACACAACATAACCTCAAGCATAAACCATAAATGATAATATTTCAAATCTGCATTTGAGAATAAAATAACAGGGAAGTGGATATGGATATCATGGAAATGGGGATATGTAGCAATTTTTCCTTTACTTCAAGCTTTGAGTTTGTTAGCAGAGAGAAAATCCATTAGCACAGTATAAAGCATGATCCTGTCTTCTTCATTTGACAGATGAAAAAAAGTGCTTATCAAGAATACACAGACATTCAATACTTCAATCCTGGTGCTTTTATATGCAGTATCTATCCTTAATTAAACCAAGTATCTTTCTTAGTAAATCTCATTCTGAACTTCATAGGATTTCAAAACATCAATCATTAAAACACATTATTTACATTTGCCTCTAAGTCTTTGAAAAGGCCTGCAAAACCAAGGGAGTTTCACAGAATGCTATGAGCCATGGAGGTGAGAATTCATGTAACATTACCTGTGAAATTATAAGTGACACAAAAAATGGCATTCAGTCATGAATTGAAGTTCTCATCCATTATCATATTTCTAAAATATACTGTGGCCTTACACATTTTCTATTCTATTAAAGTATACATCTTCACATTGTTTCATATTTCATGCACCTAATTTTCAGAATGTGGATCTATAGTTATATATGTAATGTCTTCTAATTGGTTCGATTTCTGGTTCTAATGTGTGCCTTGCTCATATAATAGGGAACAGTGCACATTTCCTTTTGTGAACACTGATTTTCTCTGACCCATATGATGTTGATGTGAATTCCTAAGATGTATTCTTTTTTAAAAATGTGAAGATAATTGAAACATACAAGGAATGTAGGCACAATGAAACAAAGCTATTTAAAAATTAACCTAGAACCTACAATCAAAAAGCAAAACAAAGCAAAACCAAACCAAAAAAGCCATTGCTCTAGTGGTTGCTGTGGTGTCCTGTCAGGAATCTCCCTTCAGGACTCAGGCACTTTTTACCGCAACTGAAGGCTCACAGGTAGCGGTCTCCTCAGCGATGCCCAGGGGAATGTCTAGTTGATTTGGAAGCACAGAGGACAAGTCCCCTTTTCTTATTTTGGGATAACCCTGACTATGATCGATGGAACTGATTATTTGATATTCACAATAAGTGGAATAATGCCTATGTACTCTTGTACTCTTGTTTGCTTGACTTATTTAACTTTGCATAATGATTTTTTGATTGATCCATATTGTTGAGTGTTTCAGTAGTCTGCTTTTTTATTGCTGAGAAGTATTCCATTATATAGTTACACCATAGGTCATTATCCTATTCAGTTGTTAATGATCATTTGAGCTGTTTCCAGTTTTTGTCAATTACCCATAATCAGCTTCATTTTCTATGGTGTGTGTGTGTGTGTATGTGTGTGTGTGTCTGGGTGTGTTTCCATATAAAGTTTAAGGTGACAGATGTTTTCCCCCCAGTACTTTTAGATGCCATGCCAGTCAATACCTTTTGGCCTGCGTATTTTCATGATGAGACATTAGCCATCATTCTTATTTTGTTCTTCTGAATTTAATGAAGCTCCAACGGCTTAGTAGCTGTATAGGCAGCTTAGAATTTAGTCAAAGACTTGTGGGAACTCCTATGTAGATTTTTGAAGCTCTTTCTTCTAAGCTGATCTGTGAGACTATTGTGCCCTACATGGATGACCCCTCCCCTCTCCAGCGCTGGTAAACACCGCTGGATAGAAAACCGGACAGGCATGGGATTCTTTGTTTGGCTTCTCTGAGGGATTACAGTCCTGAATACCTGTTGTTCAACCTCTGAAAACATTGTTTCATACATTTTATTTATATTTTTTAGTTGTTTCTGGAGGAAGGACTAGTCCAATCTTGTGTAGCATGATGGAAATCCATCTCAATCAATTTTAAATATGCATTCTGGTGTTTACAAATGAAGTCGAATGTATTTTTATATAAAAATCTTTTCATATGTTTTCTCTTGTGTAATAATTATTATTTTTTCTTGATTACATTTTGCCATTTTAAATTTATTTAGGGCTCTATACATTTAGAAAAAATTCTTTGCTTTATATGTGGTACAATACTTCTCAAATTTTGAGTACCTTTTTACTCTATTTTGAAAAACAGAATGTCTTATTTCTAATCCTCTTCACTCTATCTTGAAAATATGCTTGATATCTGACTACTTTGCATCTATACCATTGCAACTACCCTGTTGCAAATCATACGCATGATTTCAATAATACTATAACTGCTTTTTAAAAAAATTTTAATTAATTTTATTTTTATTTATTTATTTATTATTTATTTTAAACGGAGTTTCACTTTTTTTGCCCAGGCTGGAGTGCAATGGGTGATCTCGGCTCACCGCAACCTCCACCTCCCGGGTTCAAGCGATTCTCCTGCCTCAGCCTCCCGAGTAGCTGGACTTATCGGCATGTACCACCATGCCCGGCTAATTTTGTATTTTTAGTAGAGAAGAGATTTCTCCATGTTGGAGAAATCTCCATGCTGGTCTCGAACTCCCAGCCTCATGTGATCTGCCTGCCTTGGACTCCCAAATTGCTGGGATTACAGCTGTGAGCTACCATGCCTGGCCTGTAACTGCTTTTTTTACATGTTGACTTTAGTTAAGGATTCCATCTCTCTTGACTTGCTGGAGTCCATTATTGATTAATAAGTACTTCTGTTTTTGCTCTTACAATTGCTTCCATTTGAATAAGTTACATGGTCACCCTACATATGGATGATTCTCTAGAATTCGAGCAGCCAGAATAATTTACTAATTGTAGCTAGTATATACAAATATAACTAATATTTGGATATCGACTTTATGTTTTGTAAATTTGCTGTGCTACCTTAATTAACTTTAATCATTTGTCAGTAGGTCCTTTGGGTTCTCCATGTAGGCAACTGTAGCACTTCTAAACAATGATAATTAAATTCTTGTAATTCCTATCACTTTTTTACAGTTTTCATACTGCACAGATTAAAACTTCTGTAGAGCATCGAATATAATTGGTTATAGCAAGCCTCACAATGTACTGATTTTTATGAGATTTCTTTTATATACAGACATGAAAAATGATGGTTCCTGCAATATTTTGGAAGCCATCATTTGTTAGTTTAAAGATGTTGCAATTTGTTCTGTTTCCTGCTTTTTGAAAAAAATCATGATTTAATAGTGAATTCTAGCAAATGCATCAATTGAGATAATTTTATTGTTTTAATTTTCACCATTCATGTGATAAATTATTTTCAGATATTTCAAGTGCTAACATTCTGTGACAGTTCGTTTGTAGAATAATGAAAACATATTAATGCTATATTATCTTTTTCTGCCACACTTTTAAAATTGATTCACTTTATGTGTTTAGGATATTTGTATATACAAACATAAGTGAAATTAGTTTTCATTTATCATGGTATTTATACTGAAATTCACATTAATCTCAGAATAATTTGGGGAGTCTTCCCTCTTTTTACTATTATCTGAAAGAGGTTTTTTTTGGTGAATCTTGATTATTTGACAGACTTCAATTGTAAAATTCCTCATTCTATTGTTTTCTGTATGGAATATTTTAAATCCTTATTCAAATGTGTAAAAGTGCTATCATCATTCAGGATTCTATTTGTCCCTAGTTCCTTGTTGAGCTGGTAAATTTTTAATAGGAACTCTCCAGGGAAAACAAACAAACGAAACAACAACCACCAAAAAAAAAAAAAAAACATAATTTGTAGTGTTGGCCAATTTCCATGGTGTGAATATTCACAACATGGCCAAGTTTAATCTACCAATGCAATGTAACTGAATCCAGAGTTAGGAAGAATTGTACCTTACCAGCTCTTCCAAGTCAGCGCAAATTGGCTCCAGAACAGTTAACTACTGTGAAGATCTGAGATTTCACCCTGTTTGCAAGCTGAAAAGCCATGGTAAGTCACAGTTTTTTAAATGGTGAGAGAAAACATGAGCCTCCTGATTCAATAAAAAAAAAAAAAAATTACCCATATGCTACTGCTTGAATGTGTCTCACCAAATTTTATGTGTTTAAAACTTGCCTAAGTGTTGAGAAATGGGACTTTGGGGAGGAGACTGGATCATCATAGCTCTGCCCTCATAAATAGAGTAATCCATTCATGAATTATTGAATAATTAAATTAATGAGTTATCCAGGGAGTGCATTAGTTACCCTGAGAGTAAGTCTGTTACATGTCACTTGATCTGTATACTTCTGTAAATTTTAATTCTGTAATCTCTATAATATCATTCTAGTTGTGTTTGTTTTCTGTTGCTGTTATAACAAATTACCACAGACTTAATGGCTTAAAAAAACATCAATTTGTTATCCTACAGTTCTGTAGGTTAGAAGTCTACCATGGGTATCTGGACTAAATCAAACTGTCAGCTTAGCTGTGTTCCCTTCTGGGAGCTGTAGGGGAAATCTATTTCACTGCCTTTTCCAGCTTCTACCACCACCCACATTGCTTGGCGAGTAGCTCCCATCCTTCATCTTCAAAGCTAGAAGCATAATATATCTCTCACCCTGCTTGCATCTTCACAAATCTTTCTGTAATTTTCTTTTGCTTCCATTTTAAAATTGCATGATTACATTGGTCCACCCAAATAATACAGGATGATCTCCCTCTTTTATGGTCATCTGATTAGCAATTTTAATTTTATCTGCAACCTAAATTCACCTTTGATGTGCAATATAACATGTTCATTGGATATAAGAATTATAATGTGGACATCTTTGGAGTGGGCAATATTCTGCTTACCACATTGGCCTTTTAATATTATGTATTGTATATTTTCAACTTTAATGGTGGTTTCTGAATGAGTGTCTGTTTTGAATGATATTAATAATTTTTGGGTAAGAGATGAGCAGGACTTGTATTCTGCACACCATTCACTACCCTGCTGATCAAAACAGGATCTGGTCAAAACAGGATGCAGTTAAGAAACCTACTAAAACCTACTAAAACCAGCTAAAACCAAGATGGTGGTGAAAGCAACCTCTAGTTGCCCTCATTGCTCATTATATGCTAATTATAATGAATTAGCTTGCTAAAGACACTCCTACCAGTCCCATGACAGATTACAAATGCCAAGGCAATGCCCAGAACTTACCTTATGTGGTTTAAATGGGAAGGAAATCTTGGTTCTGAGAATTAGCCCCTCTTTTCTAGAATATCAATGAATAACTCACCCCTTATTTACCATAAAGGAAGGAGTTAGTATAAATATAGCCAGCCAGCAATCCATGAGTGCTACTCTACTTATGGGGTAACCCTGCTCTGTCTATGGAGCAGCCATGTTCTTCTGCTCTGTTGCTCTAATAAATTTGCTTTGCTTTCACTTTACTTTGTTGGCTGTCTACCCTCCTGGGCCTAGCCCCAGTTTTGGGATTCACTTGCATCAGTTTTACCAATTTTCCTCTAGGTAGTACTTGCTTGGCATATCTTTCTACTAATGTTTCTTCATCCAGGTGAGTTTTAGGTGTTTCTCTTGTAAGCAGATAATTGGATTTGACAAGAGACACAACTAAAGTATCTAGACAAAGAAATATTACTAGATATTTAGTAAATATTATAGAACAATGTCAACCTATGTCTAATTGCTGTTATTCTTGTTTTAAAACATCAATGTTTATTTAGACTAACTAAGTCAATAAGTCCTTTTATTCACTCTACCCTTCATGTCCCAGACTGTTCCTCTTGGACCGTCTTTTTCTTTTATTTATTTATATATTGATTTTCTCAGTTAGTTAGTTTACTTGTTATTGAATTGCATTCAACTCCAAAGCCTGAATGGTTCAAATATTTTTTGTTCTGAACCCACTGATGCTCTAGGCATAAATGTCTCATGTCTTCAAACACTTTTCCCTTGTTTTAGAATATTCTTAAAACTTTCTTTCAGGCTGTGAAAGAAAAATGATGTTTTAAATATAACTTCAAGAACTTTTAGAGATTATTTGTTAGGAAGTTTACAGCATTCACTATTTTCATATTGATAGAAACAGAAGTCCTAAAATAAGCTCTCACAAATTCTAGTCCATAGTTCTTCACTTTAAAACACTTTTAATTATTTTACCTTTAGTGTACCCTCATTGAGGATCTTGCCCATATATTTGATATAATTAATATAATAGAATAATATATATATAAATTACTCCTTGCCAGGCATAGTGGCTTATGCCTGTAGTCCCAGCTACTTGGGGGGCTGAGATGGGTGAATCACTTGAGCCCAAGAGTTGGAGGCTGCAGTGAGACATTATCTTACCACTGCACTCCAGCATAAGTGACAGAGCAAAAACAAACCTCAAAATAATAATAATAATAGCAATAATAATAATTACTCTTAATGTGAAAGAATATTAATACAAATAAATAATAATGTCAAAACATACATATTGCCATTCTTGATTTACTTCATTGAAGTGTTTATCACAGTTATGTGCTTTTATAAATGTGTATTAAAATTACTTCATTGAAGTGTTTATCACAGTTATGTGCTTTTATAAATGTGTATTAAAATGGCACTGGTGGGCCTGGTGCAGTGGCTCATGCCCGTAATTTCAGCACTTTGGGAGGCTGAGGTGGGCAGATCACCTGAGGTCAGGCCAACATGGCGAAACCCCGTCTCTACTAAAAATACAAAAATTAGCTGGGCATGGTGGTTGGCGCCTGTAATCCCAGCCACTCAGGAGGCTGAGGTGGGAGAATCGCTTGAACTGGGGAGGCGAAGGTTGCAGTGGGCCGGGATGGTGCCACTGCACTCCAGCCTGGGAGACAGAGTGAGACTCCATCTCAAAAAAAAAAAAAAAAAAAGAAAAAAATGGCACTGGCGGCATATGTTTTACTGTTGATCATTTGTGAAATCAGACCATGAATTAAATACGGAGATATCATAGCAAATATAACAAATATGTACAACAAACATATAACACATATCACAAAAGAACTGAATTTAAAAAACCATATTTCAGACTAAGTTATGCCTATGTATCCATAAGTAAGGCATTTACATTCTCGTAAAAATAAGATTGTAAATCTTATATCACGTGGTCACTTCAAAGCATAAATGAGATGAAGAATTTAAAAATATTATGAAAATTTTACTTATTCATTGAGGTTTAGTTAGTTCATGGATAAAATCAAGACTGTAAACTGGACAAAAAAATAAAAGAAAATCTACCTTTTCCTGATGTAAAGTGATAAACAGTTTCTCAGTGTTAGAGTTTACCTCTTCCCTAGTGTAGGTAATATTACCTAAACATAAATGTTTTAGAAAAAAATTATATTGAAATTTTAGAATTTCCTTTGTAGGGAAAATTATTTCTAAAAGTCTTTTTATACCATTTGCTCATCAAATATTAGTGATCTTCGTAATTTTTTCTTTTTTTTTTTTTTTAATTGCTTCTTTTTTTAATTTTATCATTATTATACTTTAAGTTTTAGGGTACATGTGCACATTGTGCAGGTTAGTTACATATGTATACATGTGCCATGCTGGAGCACTGCACCCACTAACTCGTCATCTAGCATTAGGTATATCTCCCAATGCTATCCCTCCCCCCTCCCTCCACCCCACAACAGTCCCCAGAGTGTGATATTCCCCTTCCTGTGTCCATGTGATCTCATTGTTCAATTCCCACCTATGAGTGAGAATATGCGGTGTTTGGTTTTTTGTTCTTGTGATAGTTTACTGAGAATGATGATTTCCAATTTCATCCATGTCCCTACAAAGGACATGAACTCATCATTTTTTATGGCTGCATAGTATTCCATGGTGTATATGTGCCACATTTTCTTAATCCAGTCTATCATTGTTGGACATTTGGGTTGGTTCCAAGTCTTTGCTATCGTGAATAATGCCGCAATAAACATACGTGTGCATGTGTCTTTATAGCAGCATGATTTATAGTCCTTTGGGTATATACCCAGTAATGGGATGGCTGGGTCAAATGGTATTTCCAGTTCTAGATCCCTGAGGAATTGCCACACTGACTTTCACAATGGTTGAACAAGTTTACAGTCCCACCAACAGTGTAAAAGTGTTCCTATTTCTCCACATCCTCTCCAGCACCTGTTGTTTCCTGACTTTTTAATGATTGCCATTCTAATTGGTGTGAAATGTTATCTCATTGTGGTTTTGATTTGCATTTCTCTGATGGCCAGTGATGATGAGCATTTTTTCATGTGTTTTTTGGCTGCATAAATGTCTTCTTTTGAGAAGAGTCTGTTCATGTCCTTCGCCCACTTTTTGATGGGGTTGTTTGTTTTTTTCTTGTAAATTTGTTTGAGTTCATTGCAGATTCTGGATATTAGCCCTTTGTCAGATGAGTAGGTTGCGAAAATTTTCTCCCATTTTGTAGGTTGCCTGTTCACTCTGATAGTAGTTTCTTTTGCTGTGCAGAAGCTCTTTAGTTTAATTAGATCCTATTTGTCAATTTTGTCTTTTGTTGCCATTGCTTTTGGTGTTTCAGACATGAAGTCCTTGCCCATGCCTATCTCCTGAATGGTAATGCCTAGGTTTTCTTATAGGGTTTTTATGGTTTTAGGTCTAACGTTTAAGTCTTTAATCCATCTTGAATTGATTTTTGTGTAAGGTGTAAGGAAGGGATCCAGTTTCAGCTTTCTACATATGGCTAGCCAGTTTTCCCAGCACCATTTATTAAATAGGGAATCCTTTCCCTCTTGCTTGTTTTTCTCAGGTTTGTCAAAGATCAGATAGTTGTAGATATGTGGCGTTATTTCTGAGGGCTCTGTTCTGTTCCATTGATCTATATCTCTGTTTTGGTACCAGTACCATGCTGTTTTGGTTACTGTAGCCTTGTAGTATAGTTTGAAGTCAGGTAGTGTGATGCCTCCAGCTTTGTTCTTTTGGCTTAGGATTGACTTGGCGATGTGGGCTCTTTTTTGGTTCCATATGAACTTTAAAGTAGTTTTTTCCAATTCTGTGAAGAAAGTCATGGGTAGCTTGATGTGGATGGCATTGAATCTGTAAATTACCTTGGGCAGTATGGCCATTTTCATGATATTGATTCTTCCCACCCATGAGCATGGAATGTTCTTCCATTTGTTTGTATGTCTTTTATTTCCTTGAGCAGTGGTTTGTAGTTCTCCTTGAAGAGGTCCTTCACATCCCTTGTAAGTTGGATTCCTAGGTATTTTATTCTCTTTGAAGCAATTGTGAATGTGAGTTCACTCATGATTTGGCTCTCTGTTTGTCTGTTGTTGGTGTGTAAGAATGCTTGTGATTTTTGTACATTGATTTTGTATCCTGAGACTTTGCTGAAGTTGCTTATCAGCTTAAGGAGATTTTGGGCTGAGACAATGGGGTTTTCTAGATATACAATGATGTCGTCTGCAAACAGGGACAATTTGAATTCCTCATTTCCTAATTGAATACCCTTTATTTCCTTCTCCTGCCTAATTGCCCTGGCCAGAACTTCCAACACTATGTTGAATAGGAGTGGTGAGAGAGGGCATCCCTGTCTTGTGCCAGTTTTCAAAGGTAATGCTTCCAGTTTTTGCCCATTCAGTATGATATTGGCTGTGGGTTTGTCATAGATAGCTCTTATTATTTTGAAATACGTCCCATCAATACCTAATTTATTGAGAGTTTTTAGCATGAAGGGTTGTTGAATTTTGTCAAAGGCTTTTTCTGCATCTATTGAGATAATCATGTGGTTTTTGTCTTTGGCTCTGTTTATATGCTGGATTACATTTATTGATTTGCGTATATTGAACCAGCCTTGCATCCCAGGGATGAAGCCCACTTGATCATGGTGGATAAGCTTTTTGATGTGCTGCTGGATTCAGTTTGCCAGTATTTTATTGAGGATTTTTGCATCAATGTTCATCAAGGATATTGGTCTAAAATTCTCTTTTTTGGTTGTGTCTCTGCCTGGCTTTGGTATCAGAATGATGCTGGCCTCATAAAATGAGTTAGGGAGGATTCCCTCTTTTTCTATTGATTGGAATAGTTTCAGAAGGAATGGTACCAGTTCCTCCTTGTACCTCTGGTAAAATTCGGCTGTGAATCCATCTGGTCCTGGACTCTTTTTGGTTGGTAAGCTAATGATTATTGCCACAATTTCAGATCCTGTTATTGGTCTATTCAGAGATTCAATTTCTTCCTGGTTTGGTCTTGGGAGAGTGTATGTGTCGACGAATTTATACATTTCTTCTAGATTTTCTAGTTTATTTGCATAGAGATGTTTGTAGTATTCTCTGATGGTAGTTTGTATTTCTGTGGGATCGGTGGTGATATCCCCTTTATCATTTTTTATTGCGTCTATTTGATTCTTCTCTTTTTTCTTTATTAGTCTTGCTAGCGGTCTCTCAATTTTGTTGATCCTTTCAAAAAACCAGCTCCTGGATTCATTGATTTTTTGAAGGGTTTTTTGTGTCTCTATTTCCTTCAGTTCTGCTCTGATTTTAGTTATTTCTTGCCTTCTGCTAGCTTTTCAATGCGTTTGCTCTTGCTTTTCTAGTTCTTTTAATTGTGATGTTAGGGTGTCAATTTTGGATCTTTCCTGCTTTCTCTTGTGGGTATTTAGTGCTATAAATTTCCCTCTACACACTGCTTTGAATGCGTCCCAGAGATTCTGGTATGTTGTGTCTTTGTTCTCATTGGTTTCAAAGAACATCTTTATTTCTGCCTTCATTTCATTATGTACCCAGTAGTCTTTCAGGAGCAGGTTGTTCAGTTTCCATGTAGTTGAGCGGTTTTGAGTGAGATTCTTAATCCTGAGTTCTAGTTTGATTGCACTGTGGTCTGATAGTTTGTTATAATTTCTGTTCTTTTACATTTGCTGAGGAGAGCTTTACTTCCAACTATGTGGACAATTTTGGAACAGGTGTGGTGTGGTGCTGAAAAAAATGTATATTCTGTTGATTTGGGGTGGAGAGTTCTGTAGATGTCTATTAGGTCCGCTTGGTGCAGAGCTGAGTTCAATTCCTGGGTATCCTTGTTGACTTTCTGTCTCGTTGATCTGTCTAATGTTGACAGTGGGGTGTTAAAGTCTCCCATTATTAATGTGTGGGAGTCTAAGTCTCTTTGTAGGTCACTCAGGACTTGCTTTATGAATCTTGGTGCTCCTGTATTGGGTGCATATATATTTAGGATAGTTAGCTCTTCTTGTTGAATTGATCCCTTTACCATTATGTAATGGCCTTCTTTGTCTCTTTTGATCTTTGTTGGTTTAAGGTCTGTTTTATCAGAGACTAGGATTGCAACCCCTGCCTTTTTTTGTTTTCCATTTGCTTGGTAGATCTTCCTCCATCCTTTTATTTTGAGCCTATATGTGTCTCTGCACGTGAGATGGGCTTCCTGAATACAGCACACTGATGGGTCTTGACTCTTTATCCAATTTGCCAGTCTGTGTCTTTTAATTGGAGCATTTAGTCCATTTACATTTAAAGTTAATATTGTTATGTGTGAATTTGATCCTGTCATTATGGTGTTAGCTGGTTATTTTGCTCATTAGTTGATGCAGTTTCTTCCTAGTCCCGATGGTCTTTACAATTTGGCATGATTTTGCAGCGGCTGGTACCGGTTGTTCCTTTCCATATTTAGCACTTCCTTCAGGAGCTCTTTTAGGGCAGGCCTGGTGGTGACAAAATCTCTCAGCATTTGCTTGTCTGTAAAGGATTTTATTTCTCCTTCACTTATGAAGCTTAGTTTGGCTGGATATGAAATTCTGGGTTGAAAATTCTTTTCTTTAAGAATGTTGAATATTGGCCCCCACTCTCTTCTGACTTGTAGGGTTTCTGCCGAGAGATCCGCTGTTAGTCTGATGGGCTTCCCTTTGAGGGTAACCCGACCTTTCTCTCTGGCTGCCCTTAACATTTTTTCCTTCATTTCAACTTTGGTGAATCTGACAATTATGTGTCTTGGAGTTGCTCTTCTCAAGGAGTATCTTTGTGGCGTTCTCTGTATTTCCTGAATCTGAACGTTGGCCTGCCTTGCTAGATTGGGGAAGTTCTCCTGGATAATATCCTGCAGAGTGTTTTCCAACTTGGTTCCATTCTCCCCATCACTTTCAGGAACACCAATCAGACGTAGATTTGGTCTTTTCACATAGTCCCATATTTCTTGGAGGCTTTGCTCATTTCTTTTTACTCTTTTTTCTCTAGACTTCCCTTCTCGCTTCATTTCATGCATTTCATCTTCCATCGCTGATACCCTTTCTTCCAGTTGATCGCATCGGTTCCTGAGGCTTCTGCATTCTTCACGTAGTTCTCGAGCCTTGGTTTTCAGCTCCATCAGCTCCTTTAAGCACTTCTCTGTATTGGTTATTCTAGTTATACATTCTTCTAAATTTTTTTCAAAGTTTTCAACTTCTTTGCCTTTGGTTTGAATGTCCTCCCGTAGCTCAGAGTAATTTGATCGTCTGAAGCCTTCTTCTCTCAGCTCGTCAAAGTCATTCTCCATCCAGCTTTGTTCTGTTGCTGGTGAGGAACTGCGTTCCTTTGGAGGAGGAGAGGCGCTCTGCTTTTTAGAGTTTCCAGTTTTTCTGTTTTGTTTTTTCCCCATCTTTGTGGTTTTATCTACTTTTGGGCTTTGATGATGGTGATGTACAGATGGGTTTTTGGTGTGGATGCCCTTTCTGTTTGTTAGTTTTCCTTCTAACAGACAGGACCCTCAGCTGCAGGTCTGTTGGAATACCCTGCCATGTGAGGTGTCAGTGTGCCCCTGCTGGGGGGTGCCTCCCAGTTAGGCTGCTCGGGGGTCAGGGGTCAGGGACCCACTTGAGGAGGCAGTCTGCCCGTTCTCAGATCTCCAGCTGTGTGCTGGGAGAACCACTGCTCTCTTTAAAGCTGTCACACAGGGACATTTAAGTCTAGAAGTTACTGCTGTCTTTTTGTTTGTCTGTGCCCTGTCCCCAGAGGTGGAGCCTACAGAGGCAGGCAGGCCTCCTTGAGCTGTGGTGGGCTCCACCCAGTTCAAGCTTCCCAGCTGCTTTGTTTACCTAATCAAGCCTGGGCAATGGCGGGCGCCCCTCCCCCAGCCTCGCTGCCGCCTTGCAGTTTGATCTCACACTGCTGTGCTAGCAATCAGTGAGACTCCGTGGGCGTAGGACCCTCCAAGCCAGGTGAGGGATATAATCTTGTGTTGAGCCGTTTTTTAAGCCCCTCGGAAAAGCGCAGTATTCGGGTGGGAGTGACCCGATTTTCCAGGTGCCTTCCATCACCCCTTTCTTTGACCCCGAAAGGGAACTCCCTGACCCCTTGCGCTTCCCGAGTGAGGCAATCCCTCCCCCTGCTTCGGCTGGCGCCTGGTGCGCGCACCCACTGACCTGCGCCCACTGTCTGGCACTCCCTAGTGAGATGAACCCGGTACCTCAGATGGAAATGCGGAAATCACCTGTCTTCTCCGTGGCTCAGGTTGGGAGCTGTAGACTGGAGCTGTTCCTATTCGGCCATATTGGCTCCTCCCCTCCAGCTTTTTGACTCTTGGACTTATACCAGTGGTTTGCCAGGGGCTCTCAGGCCTTTGGCCGCAGACTGAAGGCTGCATTATTGGCTTCCCTACTTTTGAGGTTTTGGAACTTGGACTGGCCTCCTTGCTCCTCAGCTTACAGACGGCCTATTGTGGGACTTCACCTTGTGATCATGTGAGTCAATACTCCTTAATGAACTCCTCTTCATATATACATCTATTCTATTAGTTCCTCTAGAGAACCCTGACTAATACATACTCCAGTGGTTTGTCACCTCCTAAAGAGCTAAAAGTACTACTAATCAAATTAACAAATCAAATTTTAAGTGATAGTAGGTATTACAGAATTTGTAGGTGCTTACTCCTAAAGGAGAGGGAAGAGTATTTGGTTATCTCACTTAACATATTTTAAACAATTATGAGGCTAAGACTGACAAATCTCATATTTGCCAGGACAAAATTATTATAGCCAATGTACTTCCCTTTATATTTTATGTTTAGTACAATAAAGTTCTATCTGCTTTAAATATGCTGTATAATACTTTTCCTCTACATGAACACCATGAATAGCTTATTTCCAATTTTATGTAAGTATTTACTTATTTTTTTTTTTTAATTTTGAGACAAAGTGTTGCTCTGCTTCCCAGGCTGGAGTGCAATGGCATGACTCACTGCAACCTATGCCTCCTGAGTTCCAACAAGTTTCCTGCCTCAGCCTCCTGCGTAGCTGGGATTACAGGCACCCGCCACCTTGCCTGGCTAGTTTTGGTATTTTTTAATAGAGATGGGGTTTCACCATGTTGGCCAGGCTGGCTTCAAATTCAGTATTTGCTTTTTTAAGACTGTATTTTTAGTACTTTTGAAAATTGCTGCCACAAATAATTATTTAGATAATAATGCTTATATTTATACTAATAAGCTTTTATGGTAAATTGTTTATTGCCATTTTATTCGAAGTTTATTATTAGATTACTTCTAATTTCCTATGGATATATAAAAATATAGATTGCAAAAAACATTGCTACTCGATAAAAGTTTACTTAAAGTTGTGGATTGTGGTCATATTTTCTACAATATGTTTACTTGGCTTTTATTTTAAATAGATATGTAAAAAATAAAATAATATAAGACAGTGATACTAACGTAAGGTAATATAATCTTCATGAAAAAGGAGACAGCATAATCTCGGGATATATTGAGTGTTCAGTCTATTAATATAATCAAAACAAAATCAAAACCAAAACCAGCCAAAATAAACAAAAAAAACCTTAATTGAACATCAGAAAGTTTCCAAAATAATACATGCTTAAATGTTTTATTATGTTTATTTAACTGTTTGGAAACATTTTCTGATATTCTTCTGCTTTCATGTGCATTTTTTCTACTATGGCAGTAATGTCTTTGAGGAATTTTGAAACAAGCATATATCTATTTTTGCTTTTTTAAGCCATGTTATATAAACTATATTTTTTAATGTTTACAAATTTATTTTGTTAAAGTAGGTCTACTATTTGCTCTATAACTGGAGAATCTAATGCATCCATGAATCTCTGTCCTCTCCTAAGGCCTTTGTTAAGAATAGTAATAGTATTATGTTGGCCATTTGTTAGTGGTTATGGTGAGGCCTTGAAGGGCAGAGAAGAAAGATGTTTGCTGTGTTTATTAAATATCATTCCTTTCCTAAAATACTCAGATTCATTGCTGCTAGTTCTCCTATTTTAATGTTTCTAAAAAATGTTTCCAATAGGGATTTTTAGTTATTTACTTTTTAGAAATTGGCATATTGAGTTTCCATATTTGAATGAAATATGTTTATGTAAATAAATACCTCTACAAATAGTATAAAAAGTAAATGAATACATTTGATATATGAGGCATTGTTTTCACATATTTAATAAAGCATATAATAGATAATCTTGCATTTTGATGATTTCTATAATCATTAAATAATATATCTTTGTGTTTTTAATTGTTGACATATAGCCCAATTCAACAATCATATGTATTTATGGATAACATGAATTATTTGGTTCAGTGTGACATGAGTTAATAATTCGACTGATGTCTATATCAAAATCAAATGATGATTAAAATAAAGTTAAGCAGAAACATTTATAAAAATATTTTAAATATTAGTTTTTTTAGTTAAATAATACAGATATAAAACAATCCTACTAACATGTATTAATTAACATAAATTATATTTCAGTTAATAATTTATATGACAATTTATTCACAACTATGAAACATTTCATTATTATTGTAATTCTAAAAAAAAAAGTGAGGTATGAGATTATATTAGAAAGGAAGCTACATACCTGTGCTTTGGCCTACCATTAATGATTGCCCTAGATTGATGACATCTTTATTTTGTATTTGTATTGAATAATATGAGTCATTCCTGATTTTAAAAGTAATTCCTAATTTAAAAGTTCATATTGACATGGTACCAAGAATTACAAAATAATTATTTACATATAAGAGTTTATAAAATCACTAAGATAGCCTATTTAGCAACTAACATTTATTTATATAGTATTGAAGTTAGTTCATATTTAATTTAAAATGTAATTTAAACCTACTTAAATAGCCAAAAAATGCATATGTTCTACACATTCCAGGAAATTCAGTTTGCAGCTATTTGATGTATTTGAATATAATATTTTTAATTAATTGTAATTGCCCTTTTTAGGGTAAAAAATTATTTTGAAAGTTTTGCATAGAGATTCAATTGCAATAATTTATTGGGCTAAAATTTAAAGATAATAAGAAAATAAAAAACTAGTATGATTTTCAAAATGTAAAAAGGGAACAATTGAATGACTTTAGCAGAGAAAAAATATATATAAAAAGAAAGCAATTTTTTTAACAGAATAAAGGCAAAATAAGATGCGCTTTCAGAGCTTCTTAATGCTGGGCTCAGAAGTTTCAGTATGATAATTTTTCCACCATCTCTTTATCATAGTAGTCCCATACCTCAAGCCGGGTTCAATAGGAGGGAAAGTAAGTTTCATCTCTTAAGTGAGCATCAAGTACAAAAATAGGTGCAGATGTTTTTTTGGTCGTCTCTGGAAACTAGCCATCACATTCTACTCCCTGAAAAAAACTATTCCTATTTTTCCCCTGTGCAAAATAAATCGTGTCTCCATCCCAAGACTCAAATTCATCTTCAATTATGGCATCAACTCAAAATCCATTATCTTGTCATGTAAATCAAATCCAGATGAAAATTAAGCTTTTCAGGAATTGTTCCATAGAAGCAGCTCTTTCGGGTATGTTTCATTTTATTAAAAGTAATTTCTAAAATATTAGAAAATATAACTCATAAAATTATACAATAAGTACATTCAATTGACTTGATTTTATTTATTAGCTAATGATGTAATCAATAAGATGTTAAAAATGGTTCTTATAAGACTTCAGCTAATTATTCATAGACAATTTAATGAAAATATGTTAGAATAAGATTATTGGGTTACCATCCAAGAGGGGAGTAACCTGTGTGTACCCTTTAGGCTTATCTTTTCGTAAAGAAAGAAGATATTGAGATCTTTACTAATCAAAAATTTCTAAGTTAATATTTACCCCTCCCAAGTTGTAAAATCATTCAATTAAAAATCCAATCAGAGTTTCAAACCCAACACTGCATGGGAGAAAAATCTAGTAATCTTTTCCTATTTTCATGTTTTGGATAATTCTCAAAAACAGTAAATTTGATTACCTGTGGAGGGAAAAAACAGAGAAACAAGTTATCTGCCCCTACCTTTATGAGAAAAATGGCACATGAGGAACAATAAAACTGCAGGAGATACTCTATTATAAAGAAGGAACATGGGAGACACAGAGTAGTCACACACAATTCTGACACTTTGGAGTCCTTAATTAAGGACCAGTTCTGATCTCTAGCAGTGGTTCCTCATGACTTTTGGCTGAGATCTCTGGGCACTTAATTCTACATTGTGAATCATTCTTCACATCCCCAATAAGTGGCCCATGTTTTCACAGAATGTCTTTTGCAGCCCATTTGCTGGCTGTAGAGATTTGAGAGACAAGAGACTTCTCTGGTTAGTTTACATAAATCTGGCACTTTAAAAACTTTTTGAGATTTTTTATTAGCAAATTATAATCACCTCAGTTAGACAAAATGCACTCCCAGTTTTTTTCCAAGACAATATATTCTCTACCATGTATTACACATAAAGTTTAAATAGGTTAATTACCTATTAGAAGTGAATACTTTAGAAGTGAATCACTTCTACAGTATTAGGAATACAACTACTTATTTGAGCAGGTCCAGGTTTCATACCCCTAGGATTCTTAGAAGTGTTTTGGCCAAAATAATAGAGACAATGAGGTAACATCTTAAATCTTCCTGAGGTCATGACAGTAAGTCTGAATTTTACCATGAGATCATATCTTCCTAGCAGTCTGTTAGATCTGAGCTCTACCCTAAGGCCTTTTTTTTTTTTTTTTTTTTTTTGCAATGGTAATATTTTACTACCTAGAAAGCTCAGGAGGAAGAAGATAATTTTATGTTTATTTATATTTCACCTAGATTCTGCCTAAAAACATTTTACTACATACAAATAAAAGAAGCTCATTGATATTTTAAATTTTAGGCTTGGAAATTTATTTAGCACAATCCATAATTTTTTTAGGTACTCTTTCTATCTTCCATGTTACCTCTGGTAAGAATTTTGCTAACTGTCCTGCTAGTATATAACAGGTCTGGCTTAAATACAATTTCTTCTTCATTTTTCAAATACTCACTAACAGTATCTTTCAGACCCTTCCTGGTTCTATCTGATGCTTACACTTTGACCCAGTGAAACAATATGTTTTCAGTATTTCTTTGACATCACCTTATTCTAGATACAAAATTCTGTTTTATGGTCTATGGCCCCATAAAAAATCACCACAAAATTTAATGGCCCAAACCCATTATTGCTTATATCTCACAATTCCATAGATTGGCTGAGCTGAGTTGGATAGTTTCCCTAATGGTCTCACTTTAAATTTCTTATGTGATTGCATTCAGATGGCGGCAGGAGCTCTGCCTGAGGTTAGATATCTGAAACTTCAGAAGTCCCCTGTAGTCCTCTCTCTCCATATGGTATTTCATTCTCCAGGACCTCTCCATGTAGCCTCTGTCACTAACAGGGTAGCCTGGGGTTATTACTTGTCTACTCAGAGCTTCAAATAGCAGAATGCGGGAGCTTTGAAGTTTTCTTAATGCCTGGACTTGAAATGTTACTTCCTTCACATTTAATTGGCCAAAATATTCAAAGGTTCAGCAGCTGTGGGGAAGTGTCATAGGTCTCTTTCTTAATGTGAGAGGGAGAATGTGTCTATACAGAAAGTAATACTTGTCAGAGGTCATATATTGAACCTAGCCAGAGAAGTTAGAATCGAATCTAAACTTGTATGCAGAAGTCTCTGCTGATTATAATAGCAGCAGCTGATTGTTAATTTGAGGTCAAATGCGTGAAAAACTGAGAAGCTCAGAAGAACGTTTAACTCACTTAAAGATTAATATGCGGGCAGGTGTGGTGGCACACACCTGTAAGCGTAATCCCAATTACTCAGGAGGCTGAGACAGGAGAATCCTTTGAACTTCGGAGGCGGAGATTGCAGTAAGCTGAGATCGTGCCACTGCACTGCACTGTGGCGTGGTGACAGCGAGACTCTGTCTAAAAAAAAAAAAAAAAGAAAAAAAAAAGACATGTTCAAAATTTTTACTCAAAGAGCAATGGGTAAGAGGCATGTTAAACATCTCAGGTTTTGCTTTTTGGTCATAGAAATAATTGTGAACTAAAGACTGATCTTAAAGGGCCTGAAGCTCAATTTAGAGCCAATCTCACCTTTTGAATTAAGATAATACTACTGAGTCTATTTGCTTTATGGAAATGTACATAAGAAAAAGTATTATCAAGAGTTCCAACTTACCTGCACAATTTTTCATATTCAGTATGTGACATCCAATTAAATAACAACCAAACATACAAGGAGGCATGAATAGATGAATGAAACTTAGGTATGACAACAGACAATATGGATAGAAACACTGATACAGAAAATGGAGTATCATATGAGAAATATAAAGTAGCCATGCTTGAAGTTTAAATAAATGAAAAACAAATCAGTTTAATAATTTAGGCAAATAGTAAACCAGAAAAAAAATGAAAAATGCAGAATAGAATTAATAACTCAATGGATGGGTTTGACAAGAGAACAGACAAACATTATAAGCTAAATCATGCATTGGAAGATATTTAACAGAAAGTATTCAACAGATGCAAGGAGAAGAAAAAAATTGAAGTGTATAGTACACAGAGAATATAGGAAAAAGCCTTGAGATACCTCTACACAGAGTCTTAAAAATAGAAAAAAAAAGTTTAAGAGAAAATAGCTGAGAATAGTTGTAATTGTTAACACACAAGTATCAAAGAATATGTTACAAAAGAGAACAATACCAAACCAGGATAAACAAAAGGAGCATTACATTCAGGCATATAACAAAACTGTTGAAGAACAAAAGCAAATAAATTTTTAAAATAACTAGGGGGAAATGTATGCTATCATTGAAAGCAAAAATAAGTCTAAAACCTTATTTTTAAACTTAGCAAATAATAAGTAAAAGCCAGAGGCATAGAATAATTTCATAAATATATGGTGAAAAAAAATGTGCTTACCGAAAATGCTACATTCAGAAAAAAACAAACTTCAGGAATAAAAATGAGATGAATATTTTCAGACCAAACCCCACAAACACACACAAAATTAAAAAACAAACAAACAAACAAACAGAAAACAGTCAATCAATTCAGTATATGAACAGGGGATCCACATTCAAGAATAAATGAATTTTCTTTTTGGTGGCGGCATGAGAAGGGCAGCGCAGAAACCCATGATTTCAGGTGGAAACTCAGGCATAGAGCAAAAATAAACAATAAAAGGTAAAAATTTGTGTAAATATAAATATTGGCCATGTAAACAATTGTAATAATGTCATTCTGAGTTTACAATTTAAAGATGAGTGTACAATCTCATAATGCCATTCAGGAAGAAGGGAAATAGAATGGAAATGTTCTAAGTTAATTACATTCTCCTTGAAGGGGCAAAAGTAATAATTTATATTCCACTTCGAATATTTAAAGATGCATGTTTTCATCTCCAGGGCAATTACTATAATAAAAAATGTAAAATTGTTATAATATACAAAGAAATGTAATATTAAAATATATTCTAAGATGAGAAAAAATAACATGAAGAAAATTTACAAACCAGTTTATGACAGTAGTTTGTTCATTTAAAAGAAGTGGATGAATCTCTATAAAAATAATACTTCTCATCCTGAAAAAAAAGACTATAGGGTGCAAATTACTAGATTTATACAATTTAAAAATTCTATATGTAAATAAAATATTTTCCACAATTAAGCATACACATAAGATAGGTGCAAGCAGTTGCAATCTTGGGCATTTACCCCAGATAAATGAGTACTGTTTTTTAAAGAAAAACTCCATACATGAATATTTACAGTAGATTCATTTCTAATTTTAAAAACTGAAAACAATAAAAATATACATTATCAGGTAAGTAGGTAAAGTGTGATAGATCAATACTGCAAATACTATTTAGCAATATAAAATAAAGACTTAAGTAATAATACATGAAACAATTTGTGTGTATTGTAAAGGCATTTTCCTCAGTGAAAAAAGCAAATTTCACTTTAAAAAAATAAGTTCAACTTTCATTTTAGATGCAGAGGCTACATGTGTACGTTTTTACACAGATATGCTGTGTTATGATGAGATTTGGGATACAAATGATCCCCTCACTCAGGCAGTGAGCATAATACCCAACAGTTAGTATTTCAACCCTTACTCCCATCACTCCTTTCCCTCTCTAGTGGTATGTATTACAGTAATGTCTACTGTTGCCATTTTTATGTCCATGAGTGCCCAGTAGTTATCTCCCACTTATAAGTGAAAATATGCAGTATTTGATGTTCTGTTCCTTCATTAATTTACGTAGAATAATGGCCTCCTGCTGCATCCATGTTGTTGCAAATGACATTATTCTATGATTTTTATGGCTGGGTAGTATTCCATGGTATATATGTACCATATATTCTTCATCCAATCCACCGCTGATGAACATTTGGGTTGATTCCATGTCTTTGCTACTGTGAATAGAGCCTCAAAGAACATATGAGTTGATGTGTCATTTTGGTAGAATAATTTATATTTTTTGGATATATGCCCAGTAACAGGACTGCTGAGTCAAATGATAGTTATGTTGTAAGATTTTTGAGAAATCTCCAAACCATTTTCCACAGAGGCTGAACTAATTTATATTCCATCGAAGAGTATATAAGCATTCCCTGTCTCCATAGTCTCTCCAGAGTCTGTTTTTTTTGTTTGTTTGTTTGTTTGTTTGTTTGTTTTTTTTGGCACTTTAGAAAGAGCTATTCTGTCTCTTGTGAGATGCTATCTCATTGTGGTTTTGATTTGCGTTTCTCTGATTGTTGATGTGGAGTATTGGTTTGTTGGCCATTTTTGTGTCTTCTTTTAAGAGGTGTGTCTGTTTACGTCTTTTGTCCATGCTATTTTAACTTTTATTTTAGGTTCAGAGGTACATGTGAAAGTTTGTTATATAGGTAAACTCATGTCATGGGGGTTTGTTGTACACATTATTTCATCACCCAGGTATCAAACCCAGTACCCAATAGTTATCTTGTCTACTCCTCTCTCTCCTCTTGCCCCCTACCCTCAACTAGATCCCAGTGTCTGTTGTTTCTTTCTTTGTGTTCACAAGTTTTCATCATTTAGCTCCCACTTATAGTTGATAACATGTGGTATTTGGTTTTCTGTTCCTGCATTAGATTGCTGAGGATACTAGCCTCCAGCTACATCCATGTTCCCACAAAAGACATGATCCCATTCTTTTTAATGACTGCACAGTATTCCATGGTGTATATGTACCACATTTTTTAAATGCAACCTATCGTTGATGGACATTTAGGTTGATTCCATGTCTTTGCTATTGTAAATAGTGCTGCAATGAACATTTGTGTGCATATGTCTTTATGGTAGAATGATTTATATTCCTCTGGGTATATGCCCAGTAATGAGTTTGCTGGGTGGAATAGTACTTTTGCTTTCAGCTCTTTGAGGAATTACCATACTGTTTTCCATAATGGTTGAACTAATTTACATTTCACCCAACAATATATAAGTGCTCTCTTTTCTGTGTGACCTCTCCAGCATCTGTGATTTTTTGACTTTTTAATAATAGCTATTCTGACTTGTGTGAAATGGTATCTCATTGTGGTTTCGATTTGCATTTCTCTAATGATCAGTGATGTTGAACTTTTCTTCATATGCTTGTTGGTTGCATGTTTGTCTCTTTTTCAAAAGCCTTCATGTCCTTTGTCCATTTTTAAGGGGTTGTTTCTCTTGTAAATTTGTTTATGTTTCTTACAGATGCTGGATATTAGACCTTTGTCAGATGTATAGTTTGCAAATATTTTCTCCCATTGTACAGGTTGTCTGTTTGTTGATAATTTCTTTTGCTATGCAGAAGGTATTAAGTTTATTAGATATCACTTGTCTGTTTTTATTTTGTTGCTATTGCTTTTGGTATATTTTTCATGAAATCTTTCCTCATTCCTTTGTCCAAGATGGTATTGCCTTTGTTGTCACCCAGGGTTTTTATAGTTTGGGGATTTACATTTAATTTTTTAATACATATTGTTCAAAATAGTATTGAAAGTCCTAGCCAGAGTAATCCGGCAAGAGAAAGAAATAAAGGGCATCCAAATAGAAAGAGAGGAGGTCAAACTATCTCTGTTTTCAGATAATGTAATTCTATATCTAGAAAACTCCATAGTCTTGGCCCAAAGCTCCTTTAGCTGATAAACAACTTCAGCAAAGTTTCAGGATAAAAAAAATCAGCATACAAAAACCACTAGCATTCCTATACACCATCAACAGCAAAGCTGAGAGCCAAATCAGAAAAGCAATCCCATTCACAATTTCCACGAAAACAATGAAATATCTAGGAATACAGATAACAAGGGAGGTGAAAGATCTCTACAAGGAAAATTGCAAAACACTGCTCAGAAATCAGAGAAGACACAAATTGAAAAACATTCCATGCTCATGGATAGGAAGAATCAATATCATTAAAATATTCATACTGCCCAAAGCAATTTAGAGATTCAGTGTTCTTTCTATTAAACTATCAAGTGCATTCACAGAAGTAGAAAAAATGCTATTTTAAAATTCATATGGAATCAAAAAAGAGCCCAAATAACCAAGGCAATCCTAAGCATAAAGAACAGAGCTGGAGGCATCATGCTACCTGACCTCAAACTATATTACAGGGCTACAATAACCAAAACAGTATGGTACTGGTACAAAAACGGGCACATAGAGCAATGGAACAGAATAAAGGGCCCCAGATAAGGCTGCACACCTATGACCATCTGATCTTCCACAAAGCTGACAAAAGCAAGTAATGAGTAAAATATGTAATTTAATAATTGATGCTAAGATAACTGGCTAGCCATATGCAAAAGACTGAAGCTGGACACCTTCCTTATACCATTTTTAATAGGGTTATTATTGTTATTATTTTGTTGTTGAATTAAGTTTCTGACAGATTCTAGATTATAGACCCATGTCAAATGCATAGTTTGTGAATGTGTTCTCCCATTCTGTAGGTTTTCTGTTTATTCTGTTGATTTCTTTTTCTGTGTAGAAACTCCTTAGTTTAATTATGTCACATCTTATTCTTTAATGCAGCTTGAGTTAATTTTTGTTTAAATTTTGTTTTGGCTCTTTTTTGGTTCCATATGATAAAAAGCAGGAGTCCAGTTTCATTCTGCATATGGCTATACAGCTATTCAAGCACCATTAATTATTGAATAGGGAGTCATTTTTGTTGCTTATTTTTGTCGATTTTGTATGGATTTTTTTTCTAGGTTCTGTATTCTGTTTCATTAGTCTATGTGTCTGCTTTTGTATCAATGTCATGCAGTTTTGGTTACTGTAGCCTTATAGTATAGTTTGCAGTCAAGTAATGTGATGCTTTGGCTATGTTCTCTTCACTCAGAATTGCTTTGGTTATTCAGGTTCTTTTTGAGTTCATATGAATCTTAGAATAGTTTTTTTTTTCTAATTCTGTGAAAAATAACATTGGTAGTTTGATAGGAAATAGCATTGAATTAGTAGATTGCTTTGAGCAGTATAGCCATTTTAACAATATTGATTCCTCCAATCCATGAGCATGGAATATTTTTTCTTTTGTATGTGTTATCTATGATTTTTTTCAGCAGTGTTTTGTAGTTCTTTTTACAGAGATTTTTCACCTCTTTTATTAGATACATTTCTACATACTTTATGTTTTGTGGCTACTGCAAATAAGGGTGCATTCTTGATTTGCTCCTCAGTTTGAATGTTTTTGGTGCATAGAAATTCTACTCATTTTGTACATCAATTTTGTATCCCAAAAGTTTACTGAAGTCATTCATCTGTTCCAGGAGCATTTGGTGGAGTCTTTCAAGTTTTCTATTCATGCATGTGTGTGTGTGCGTGTGTGCATGCACAGAACAATAAAATGGAAAAATGAATATGTAGAATCCACATTTTTAAAAACTATACATTTTTAACTAGGTTATTTTAAAAGCTATACCAAAGTTTATTAATAACCACACAACTAATTATCTCTAAATTATTTTAAGATAAATAGACTATTGACATTTGGGGCTTACTTTAAGTCTTTCCCCTAAGCACTCTGAGTATTCCTATATTCCTTGATCTTTTAAAAATTTTTCTCTCTTTTTAATATATACGCTTACGGCAGTGGTGCTCTAATTCTAACCACTTTGTTAGTTGTTTTCCTGGCAATTTATACATTATATTCACCAATATCTTGGGTTACTAAACATTATCCTGAAACATAAGTTTATTGTCAATTCAGAATAATGCTATTCTATGAGTTTATTTAATCAATATTTTGTCATTGATCAAATACAATCTGGACTTTTAAACATTATGTTAAAAATGTTTCCAATGATTTTTATATGTCTTTTCTATGATACTTAGTAATATATCTAACCAAGGAAGTGAAAGCTCTCTACAACAAGAACTACAAAACATATAGTTTTGGAAGTTCTTGGAACTTCCAAATTTCCATCTGGAAAAAATCATAGATGACATAAATAAATGAAAGAAAATATTCAATGCTCATGGATTGAAGTAATCAATATCATTAAATGGCCATACTGCCCAGCAATCAACAGATTCAATGCTATTTCTTTCACACTACCAGTTTTCATAGAATTCATTTATCACAGAATTAGCAAAACTATTCTAAAATTCATATGAAACATAAAAGACCCCAAATAGTCAAAGCAATTCTAAGCAAAAATAACAAAGCTGAAAGCATAACATTGCCACAAGCAGATCGATAGTACAGAATAGAGAACCCAGAAATACAACTGCACATTTACAATCATTTGATCTTTGACAAAGTCAACAAAACTAAGCAATGTGAAAGGACTCCCTATTCAATAAGTGGTGCTGGGGTAGCTGGCTATTCATATGCAGAAGAATGAAACTGGACTCTGACTTTTCACCATATACAAAAATTAACCCAAGAGGGATCAAAGATTTAAATGTAAGACCTCAAACTATAAAAATACTGGAAGAAAACCTAGGAATATCATTCTGTACATCAGCCTTGACAAATAACTTATGGCTAAGACCTCAAAAGCAATTGCAACTAAAACAAAAATTGACAAGTGGGACCTAATTGAAGAGTCTCTGCACAGCAAAATAAATTATTAATACCAACAGATTACACAGACAGCATGCAGAATGGAAGAAAATATTTTCAAACTATGTATTTGACAAAGGTCTACTATTCAGAATATCTGAGGAACTTAAACAATTCAAGAAGCAACAACAACAACAAAAAACATTAAAAAGTAGACAAAAGACCTTAACGAACATTTCTCAAATGAAGACATACAAGTGGTCAACAAACATATAAAAAAAAGCTCCACATCACTAATCATTGGATAAATGAAAATCAAAACCACAATGAGATACCATCTCACACCAGTCAGAATGGTTATTATTGAAAAGTCAAAAAATAACAGATCCTGGTAAGGTTGCAGAGAAAGGGGAAGATTATACAGTGTTGGTGAGAATGTAAATTAGTTCAGCCACTGTGAAAAGCAGTTTGGAGATTTCTCAAGGAATTTAAAGCAGAACTACCAAATGACCCAGCAATCCCATTACTGGGCATATACTCAAAGGAAAATAAATCACTATACTTTATTTATATACTAGATGTGTACTCGTATGTTTATTATAGCACTATTCACAATAGCAAAGGGATGGAATCAACCTATATGCCTATCGACAGTGAGTTGAATAAAGAAAATATAGTACACATACACCATGGAATACTACACAGCCATAGAAAAGAATAAAATCATGTTTTTGCAGCAACATGGATGTAGCTAGAGCTCATTATTTTAAGTGAACTAACACAGGAACCAAAAACCAAATACCACATATTCTCATTTATAAGTGGGAGCTAAGTATTCAGTACACATGGATATGAAGATGGCAATAATAAACACTGGGGACTCTAATAGGGGAAGGTAGGGAGAAGAGTAAGGGTTAAAAACTACCTATTGGGTACTATGTTCACCACCTGTGTGATGGAATCATTCATACCCCAAACCTCAGGATCATGTGATATACTCATGTCACAAACCTACACATGTACCCCCTGAATCTAAAATAAAAGCTAAAATTATATATTAAAAAGTAATATTAAGAGCCTGGTACAATTTAAATGTGTATGCCACATTTCCTGTGTTGGAAACTTAATTTGAAAATGCATATGTTGATGGTATTTGGAAGTGGGACCTTGTGAAAGTAGGAACTTTGGAAGATAATTCTGGATTAGATAAGGTCATCAGTGTGTGGTTCACATGATGGGACTAGTGGCTTTAGAAGAAAAGAAAGAGAGACCTGAGGTGGCATGCTCTTGCCCTTTTGCCATGTGATGTTCTCCACCATGTTACGATTCAACAAGAAAGCCTTCACCAGATGTGGCCCTTGACTTAGGACTTCTCAGCTTCCAGAACTGTAAGATATAAATTTCTTTTCCTTATAAATTACCCTGCCTGTGGTATTCTGTTATAGCAACAAAGATTAACTAAGATTTAAAAAAAAAAACCAAACTCCAAATACTTTTAAATCTTGAATGGATTAATTAAAAAATTTTGTTTCAAACCTAAAATTTCTGCATTTCATGTAGACAAAGATTTTCAAAGATTTAAGCAGCCTGAGTGATATTTAAACATAGATATTCAAACTATTTTGTTAATATTATGTATTCTCTCCAATTATGGTCCCTTCATATGGAAATTTTCCCTTGGAAAACAATATGGATACTTTGGGTCATGTTCATTACAATAGTTTTTCATTTAGGTAGTTTAGGTATCTATAATTTGTGTTATTAAGTTGCTTAGCTAATTTGGTGTTTCTCTTTAAAGCATATTTTATAAGAAACATGATGCTCACAAATGAATATATGCTTAGGCATTACAGATATTTGCTTTTAATATAAGATATTTCTCATATAGAGTGCTATATTTTATAGTATTTTATAAACATTGCTCCTCAACCTTAAAATGTACATAGGGAGAAACAAAACCTAAGAAAACCCAACAGTAGGATTCTGTGCTTTAGAGTCTCTAAGATGTACACCAAACTAGATAAAGAGTTTAAAGTTGCCCTACTTTACCATCATTATGAAGTCTCATCATTGTTCGAATCCTAAATAGATAGCAGGCAGCCATTATGTAGCATATGGGATTGCTATGGAAGTCCATATGCCTTGTAACAGTTGGTGTTCAAATGAAAATGTGTGAAGTCAAATAAGAATGTGGCCCAGACAACAAAACCTAATTACCGTCAGCAGCATCAAACTGCAGGCTTTCTTTCAAATTACCTATATCACTTTTTATGCTGCTTTCCAGAAATTTTCTTGGTAATGTAATTTTTCTACAAAACTGTAGATTATAATAACACATTATTCTTTGATAAAGTAAAATGTGAGATTAGAAACATAGCTTTCATTCTAATTTTATACTTCAGATAAAAGAGATAGTTTCCTCTTGTCGAAAAACCACCCCAAAGCAACACCATATATAGAAAAACCCATAGTCATCATCCATGAGACTAGGAGATGTCTGTATACCAAAGTTCACACACACACACACACACACACACACAGACACACACACACTATTTATGTCTATGTTCATATGGATATTTATCTATATGTATCTGTGTGTACATGTAGGTGCCTGGGAGCAAACTCTAATGGGAATTTTATGCCGAAATTTATAAAGTAAGGCTGACAAAATATTGTTTTTTAAAGTAAGTAGGCTCATCTGAAATTAAAATACAATAATCACACTTTGGAAACATACAAACATATATGCAGCCTAGCTGGGTGTATTTACTGAACCAAATTAAGTATGAATTCTTGAGAAGCAGGAAAAGTCAGCTTTTTGTTTTGTAAACAGAAAACCTTTGCCAGGACTTTTCTGATTGGAAAGAGATAAGGATAAAGAGACATTCTGCATTATGAGTAGTCTTTGTGAGTAATATTTGTTAAATGGAAAGACACAAATGTTAAAACAGCTCACAGTAAATAGTAGGTTACAAGAAGACATTTTATTCTGGAAGACATCCTTGTCTCTGCCCTGACATAAATATCTGGAAAATAACTTGTTCAGAAAACAATATCATGGCAATCAAATAAGAATTAGCCAAAGGACACAAGTAAATTTATCACTGCAGAGATGAATATTTTGACTGAACATACTGCCAGCGATTAAATAATAATGTGGAAACAATCTCTCCTATAAAGTAAGGAAGAAAAATGAAGATAAAAATAGTCCTGGCTGTGTGTGTGTGTGTGTGTGTGTGTGTGAGAGAGAGAGAGATAGCAAGAGAGAGATTGTGAAAAAACAGAGTTGGAAAAATACAGGCCTAAGAAGAATGAAAGCAAACCGCAGAGAGACTTGAAAACATAGTAATGACTTAAACGACAGTGTTGAAGAAACAGTAAATCGAGAGGGTAAACAAAAAATTTCAACAGTTAATAATTAAGAGATCAAACTTGGTATGCATTCATCACCCATCAATTGTTTGTGAGGGTATTTTTCTATATGAATATTGTTTCATGTTTGGGAAAATAGTAGCAAAATATTTCATTGTCCCTCATCTGCAAAAGAAACACAATTCTTCTTTCTTTGCTTGTAATCATTAGATCATTGGTTTTATCTATATTGGCATTACTTCTGCCTTCTTCAAAGATCAGTAAGTTTTGTGAAATCACAATATATATTCTTTTATCTTGACATATTTGTAAAGTTGTATTGTAAATATAGTTTCTAATTATGGGTATAAAATTAAATGTAATTTTAATTTGAAAAATTCAGTAAAAGCACACTAATATAGAAAACAGCTTTAAAAATTTAATAATTTTGATATAAAAGCAGTGATATCCAAGATATACAGAACAGATAATTGCCTTGAAGTAATAAAACAATGAGACAATAAAAGAGTACAATTTATCAAAATTCAAAAATATTAACTCTTGAGTTTTAAAGTTTTTATACTATCTCAAGACAATTGATATGAAATTTTCAAAATACACACATATTTTAAGGTACACTTAGGCAAAGAAGTCAGAGTATTAAAAGAAATTAACAAATTCTGTGAGGTATGCGCATTTTTATACTAATATGTATTTATATTTTATTCGAGGAAATAAAATGTGGTTAATATTATTTAGACCCAATGTATATTTATCGAACCCAAGAAATTTACCACAGGAAATTAAACCTCATGAAATATTCATAACATTTCATCTTACTAAAATTACAAAAAATCTTAAATTATAGGCAAAAATTAAAGTTACAGATAATTCTATTTGATCATAATAAAATAATATTTAAAATTAGTTTAGGAGAAAAAATCTGAAAGTGAAAAAATCTATCGTCTGGAAATTAAATGTGTCAATACATAAACAAACACACATTCTAAATTTCAAAATGAACTCGAAACTCAGATTGCAAAATATGTAAGGGAAAGAAGGTAGAGAAAGCACTATAAACAGAACCTAATAGCTATAGCTAAAGGAAATCTCAGACCCTTGAATATATATAATTAACTAAGACAGAATTGAAATACATGTTAATTATCCTCCTAAATAAATTTAAAAATGAAAGTCAAATAAATCTGTAGAAAGTAGAAGAAAAAATTAAAGTCAAAAGAATAAAGCAAATCATAAAGTGGCTAATATGAGCTTTTTCCTTGGCAGGGATTGGGTGGAGGCAAGAGAAGAATATTTAGAAGCAAAAGGGAAAGACATGAAACCTCAAACTAAGTGACAAAGTGAGCATAATCACTGTCAGAGGAGAATGTTAAGAAAACACAAAAGAGGTGAGAATGTTAAGAAAATACATAAGTAAACTATGCAATTAAATGATCTGCAAAAAAATGGACAATTTTAATAATGTATATAAATCAGCAAACAGCTATGTAGAAGAAATAGAGAAATTTACCAAAAGGTACCAGGTCAATCTATTTTTATTGTGCAATTCCACCATAACTTTAAGAAACAGGAAATTCTAATACTATTTAAACTAAGTTGAAAGAATGATTTTTTTCTAAACTTTATGGGGGTTATTTATGCCATGAATCTCTTTTATGATTTAGAGAGCGTATAAATTGTTTTAATTACAAAATAAAATTCATAAGATTACTAAAAAATCATGCCAAGGTACAAACGTATTTTTAAAGGTAATATTAAAAGTATATGTTTCTTTATTAACACATTATGAAAAAGTCTAACATATGGTTGGCTGGGCACGGTGGCTCACGCCGGTAATCCCAGCACTTTGGGATGCTGAGGCGGGCGGATCACAAGGTCAGGAAATCGAGACGATGGTGAAACCCCGTCGCTACTAAAAATACAAAAAATTAGCCGGGCGCCGTGGCGGGCGCCTACAGTCCCAGCTACTCGGGAGGCTGAGGCAGGAGAATGGCGTGAACCCGGGAGGCGGAGCTTGCAGTGAGCGAAATCGCTCCACTGCACTCCAGCCTGGATGACAGAGTGAGACTCCGTCTCCAAAAAAAAAAAAAAAAAAAAAATCTAACATACGGTTTAAAAATACTTATAATTTTAATGTAATAATGAGAGTCAACCATAATTCAAAATATCCACAATATCTGTAACCACACTTGAAAATATATCCAATATATGTTAGTGAACAAGTCACATTTACTTCTAACATTACTGCAGTTCATTGCCTACATTCATAATGAAATAGTGAATTTTAGATTAGTACAAATATAGGTGTAATTCTTTCCACTGAAGTTTATTGACTTCCTCATTTTCCTGATGTAAGTTACTTCAGATCATAGAAAGAAAATAAAGCTTTTTAGCATAAGAGTTGTAGATGGCACACATATAGGTGGCACACAAGTACAGTTATAGAATATCAATTAACGATCTAAGCATTACCTGTCATAAGGTCTATAATTAAAAACATGCATATATGTACTGATATGGGAAGATTGCTGTGATTTGCAGAACATTGAGTAGAATACGCTACCATATGTGTAAAACAATAGTGATGCAAACCCACCCATATTCATATGTATATGAATAGCTCTCAAAAGGGACATATGATGAGGAAGAAGGTAACTGGGTGACCAGGGAGGACAAGGCTTGCGTTCACTGTTCACTATGTACCTTTCTTTCCTTTGTATGTTCTAAAATGTTCAATAATTATCTCTTTAAAATCAACAAAACAATTAAGAAGCAAAGCCCTAATGAAAACATAAATACTATTCTCCATTTCAATAATAGGTTGTCTAAATGAGTGGAAATTATGAAGAGAATAATTTCGATATAAACATACCATTAAAACTGTTGGAGCATTTTCTTTGTGCCAAAATTTTAAACAGACATAATTCAGACATAAATCCCAAGCAAACTGACATACCAGGGCATGTAAGACAGACATATTTGAAATGGATAAGTAGCCTAGGAATTATTTAAAGTCCCTATCAACTGTGTATTTGGCAGTTAGATGATAGCAGAGAGTATGGTTTAGGGATATGTAAATATCTCCACGTGTCACTTTTCTGCAAGCCTGCAGACTTCAGGTTAGTGACAGTAGTAGGCAGCTGGACTTGTTGATAGCTTTCTGACAAAAATAAAACATGGCAAGGTACATATTTTTCCTGTGTCTGCTCTGCCAAAGTCCAGAGTGTCAATGGCAGAGGAAAGATACTTTATGGCATTGGATATTCTTCATAACCAGGAGCCTATAGGAGTCATGAATACAGCATTACAGTGAAAACCAGTGGAAGTAATAGCTCACACACATTGATTTTCTTCTGCTTAATAGAATATGAACTGTTTCAGCATGAGTTAAATTTCATTAAACATCCTTTTCTCCTTTAGCAGAAAAATATGCTAAGGAATCATTAGCCTCCTTTACTACCTGACACAGTGGCCTAGTCTAACAGCTTTGGTTTTATATCCCAACTATGCACTATGTAGGTGTCAGCCATTTCAAAAATTACAGGAACTCTCTAAGCTTCAGTAATCTCCTCTGTAAAATAAGGGTAATTATATATATATGTCATGTTGTGTTAATGAAAATTAAATGACATAATATATATATAATCTACTTAATTTTGTAGCTGACACTTTGAGAGCTTTTGAGAAATGGCAGACATGTAGATAGAATAATACATTCTCCCCTTAGACTGGCTGATTTCGAACCCTTGCTTCACCAGTTACTACCTGCATCACCATGGTCCAGTTGGTTAACCTACCTCTTACTCAGATTACTTTTCTGGATTGAAAGGATAATAAGAGCATATTCCCCTTAGAATTGTTAAAGTAATTGAGATTACACACATTCATACAAACATAGACACACACACTCACGAGCGCACACACACACACAAACGTATGCCCAGAGTGATTAAAGCAAAATCTGACACACAGTAAATGCACACTAAATTCCATTACTTAAAATGCAATATTAAACTCTTAATATTTTCATTGTATGTAAATTTGATTCAAACCTTTGACTCTTCAGCTTAAATTTTTTTTGAGTTTTTGCCACTATTTAGGAATTTTTAAATAATTTTTCAATTATTGTTAAAATTGAAGAAAAAATAAATACATGGTACAGACAAAATATTAATGACTTGTAGGAATTGGAAATAAAATTTTTCAAAGCAATAGGTATTGCCAATATTGTGGCTCTTTTACAAAATATTTATCTGATAAATCCAGGCAATAAAACATCCTTCCAACCTCGGGTGCACCAAAGAGAAATAAAAATGGTGTAGTCCTACATCAGTAACTTATTAGTTTTCTGTAATACAGTTCTTTAATATATATTTTATAAACTGAAGTGTGATTATATGTAGTTTTCTTTATATTGCTGCTATTAATATAATCTTATCACACAACATTTATATTATGATTATGGTAAAATTCCATATTATGCATAAATAAAGTACCTTGCATTTTTGTTTTTCATTATGAAGGACAATTATCTACTTTCAGAGATCCTATTTAAAGTTATCTTTCCTTATTTTAAAAATAAATAATTGCTTTGCAAAATTCCCAAAATAAGTATGACAAGAGAATAAGTTGTATTACAAACATATTATTTTTATATTTTAAAATAACACAAAAATGAAAACCCTAAGCACAACAAGGCCCTCAGCTAATCTCCTGGCAGGGGTTTGGGGGTATGAAGCTGTGATTGTCCTCCAGTGTTATCCCAGATTGAGGAAGGGGGCCAGGCCTTTTAACCCTACACTTCCATGAGGAGTAAGTATTTAAACATGGGCTTTCCCTGGGTTATTTTATGTAAACTTAAATAAGGCAGTCCCCTTTGGAAAAGGTCAATTCCTAGGGAGGGACCCAGCCAACAACACACCTGACAGCTGAGAGAATGAGTGTGCAGGCATGAATCTGGAGGCACACAAACAACATTCACAGCATAGAATTCATTTGCTGAGCATATGGACTCTAACTGTGATCGACATTGGTTCCTGAAATGGTGCACTGCCAAAACAATTCTACAGGAGGTGGCATCAGTTTTGAGATTGGGCAGCAGGAAGCCATTAGAGGCTATACATTCATATCATTTAATGCTAAAACATGTGGCAAGATTTGATCTGCTCTAACTTATAAAGCAACGACTGTGGTTGTAGCTCTGAGGGAAAAGATTTGAAAAAACAGTAAAGAGTAGGTAAATGCTTTCTATTATTGGATGGTACTGGAAGATGTAAGAAAGACGAAAGGAGGAAAGCACTGGCCAGTTTGTAAGCAGGAGTTACAGATAATAGAGGTAATCTAGAATTTGGGGTCTTTACAATATCAAAAAAAAAAAATACAAATAAGCCTGGGTCTTAGAATCATAAGAGAAGGAATTACGGAAGGACTTTAACAGATTAAAACCTCTAACTAATTTAAGTGTTTCAGGGCAAAATTTAAATTAAGGGTATTATTGACACATAGGACAACATAGAACAACTAGATCAGAATCTATGTATTTTTGGAAAGAGTAGCATTGTCAATATTAACCAGATTAAAAATGCTGTAATTATTTAAGAAATAAAACAAGATTTTCCTATTCTATTTGAGCAGGAGTTAAGCTGCTTAATTAGGCCTAATTCCTAAGCTCCAGTAATAAGTGTATGATAGATAGATGTTAGATAGATAGATAGATAGATAGATAGATAGATAGATAGATAGATAGATGATAGAGATAATTTTTATTGCAAATGTTGATGATAGAAGAATATTGTAAACAAACTGGTTAGATAAAATATGGTATATGCTTAAAAATTAAATTATAGAAAGTGGTTAAAAAATAAAATCTTTAAGAAAACACATATAAATTAAATTTTCAATTAAAAAAACAAGTTGATATAGTTATATGCTACAGATAATCCTTTACTTTCTTCTCTAATCTTAAAAATATATTGGATAGCAAATTTTCAGGTCAGAGAACCCTACAATTCATGATTTAAATAAAACAATAATACAGTACTGCACATTCAAAAATTACATTAGTATTATTACTCTTGAAATGTATTTTACTTCATCTTTTTTTATTTCTACAAGTATATCATTAAACTGTGAGCCTGTAGCACATTTTATAAAATTGTCACCTATAAAAACAGTGATATAAACTGAAAAGATCATTTGATAAATCAAAATTGAGATCACAGTTCAGTTTTAGTATTTGAATGAGGACAGCTTGACTAAATCTCACTTTATTCTTCACAGCCAATTACTCTCATTGGTTTATAAAAGTAAGGTTTTAGCCTGAGGCAGGTATTAATATTGTTACACAGACATTAGAATTTTCTGCCACCAATACCATTTTTTATGCCAAGGATATGACCTCATCCCAAAGTACACACTAAGTTGCTCAAAGTGAGTAAAAATGTTAAGAAATTGTGTAAGGCTGGTAGTCATGGGGCTGTTTTCCTGATTTCACCTAGTTAAGGGTCAATTTTTATCATTGTTGTAACAATTTTGTTTTCCCTTATCATTGACCCACAACTAGACTACTTTCCCAGCCTTACTTTAGTAAATGCAGGAATATGTCAAAATTTGAAATGGTGCAATATCAGCAGAGATCATGTAACCCACTTCATAAAATTGTCCTATGGATGATCTCTGTGCTCTTTTCTTGCCACTGTATAGGTGCCGATCCACAAGACAAAAAGTGAGAAACACACTCACTCGTCCAAACCCAAAGAATGGATTTAGAGGCATGAAGAACAGCAAAAGTGAAACTATTAAATAATGATTTTGCAAGATCAGGTGTCTGGTGAGTAGGAACATCTGGAGAAGTCACAACAGGTAGTTTATCTCCTATCATGCAAGTCCCTCCCCTAGTTCCTCATTGGTCAAGTACTGTGGGGTTACAATCTTCCTGGATGTTACCTAAGTTTCATTATCTCCCTTAGAAGGTTATATTCCATCTCCTTCCCTGCCTAAGTTTTGATCTCCCAACAACAAAACTTTCTTCCCTTTTATGGGCTGACCCCTCCTCTACATTCCATTTGTTTATTGTGACCTTCTAGGTGCATGAGCCGTGCAGTTTGTTACATTTGCAGGCTAGCTGCCCGTACTTAGATTTATCATGCCTTGAAAATGGACCATTTAAAATGTTTTCTCACGAAGGTGTATCTTCATTGACTGAACCGTAAAAAGAAACTGGGTGCTCAAATTACTGCTTGGAGAAGAAACAACCTCTGATTCAGAATACCAAATTGGGATTTTATTGGAGTAAGAGATAGACTCATCATTTCTGATTGATTATACATTTTAAAACTTGTTTTCTACCTTACAGTTGCTGGCTTAGTGCTGAATTAGGAAGCATATGAATGCATGTGATAACTTTTCCATTCTTTAATTTTATTCTGTTATTAATTGACATAAAATTACAAATTCCTAGTTAATATATGAAGCTGGCAGTTAGATAACTACTGGAGTAATACGGTTTGGCTCTGTGTCCCCACCAAAATCTCATACTGTGGCTCCCATAATTCATACATATTGTGGAAAAGACCGGGTGGAAGATGATTGAATCATGGGGGTGATTTGTTCCCCTGCTATTCTTATGATAGTGAATGGGTTTCATGAGATCTGATGGTTTTAAAAACTGGAGTTTCTCTGCACAAGCTCTTTTTTGCCTGCTGCCATCCACGTAAGATGTGACTTGCTCCTCCTTGCCTTCCACCATGATTTTGAGGCCTCCTCAGCCATGTGGAACTGTAAGTCCAATAAACCTCTTTATTTTGTAAATTGCCCAATCTCAGGAATGTCTTTATCAGCGGTGTGAAAATGGGCTAATGGAGTAAATTGGTACCAGAAGAGTTGGGTGTTGCCGAAAAGATAACTGAAAATGTGGAAGCGACTTTGGAACTGAGTAGCAGGCAGAGGTTGGAACAGTTTGGAGGGCTCAGAAGAAGACAAGAAATGTGGAAAAGTTTGGAACTCCCTAGAGACTTGTTGAAAGGCTTTGACAAGAATACTGATAATGATATGGACAATGAAATCTGCACTGAGGTATTCTCAGATGGAGATTAGGAAGTTTTGGAGAACTGGAATAAAGGTGACTCTTTTTACGTTTTAGCAAAGAGGCTGGCAGCATTTTCCCCCTGCCCTAGAGATTTGTGGAACTCTGAACTTGAGAGAGATAATTTAGGGTATCTGGCAGAATAAATTTCTAAGCAGCAAAGCATTCAAAAGTTGACTTGGGTGCTGTTAAAGGCATTTAGTTTTAAAAGGGAAACAGCATAAAAGTTTGGAAAATTTGCAGCCTGACATTGTGATAGAAAAAAAAATCAAATCCCATTTTCTGGGGATAAATTCAAGCGGGCTGCAGAAATTTGCATAAGTAACAAGGAGCCCAATGTTAATCCCCAAGAAGACAGGAAAAATGTCTCCAGGGCATGTCAGAGACCATTGTGGCAGCCCCTCCCATCACAGACCTGGAGGCCTAGGAGGAAAAAGCAGTTTGATTTTGTGGGCTGGGCCAAGAGTCCCCACGCTCTATGCAGCCTAGGGAGTTGGTGCCCTGCATCTCAGCTGCTCTAGTTGTGACTAAAAGGGGCCAATGTAGAGCTCAGACTGTGGCTTCAGGGGGTTCAAGTCTCAGGTTGTGGCAGCTTCCATGTGATGTTGCACCTGCAAGTGCACAGAAGTCAAGAATTGGGGTTTGGGAACCTCTGCTTAGATTTCAGAAGACGTATGGAAATGCCTGGATGCCCAGGCAGAAGTTTGCTGCAGGGGCAGAGCCCTTATTGAGAACCTCTGCTAGGCAGAGCAGAAGGGAAATGTGGGGTTGGAGCCCCCACACAGAGTCCCTACTGGGGCACTTCCTAGTGGAGCTGTGAGAAGACGGGCACCATCCTCCAGACCCCAGAATGGTAGATCCACTGACAGCTTGCACCATGCACCTGGAAAAGCCACAGCCACTCAATACCAGCCAGTGAAAGCAGCCCAGTGGGAGGATGTACAAAGCACATCCTACAAAGCCACAGGGGTGGAGCTGCCCAAGACCATGGGAACCCACATCTTGTGTAAGAGTGACCTGGATGTGAGACACAGAGTCAAAGGAAATCATTCTGAAGCTTTAAGATGTGACTGCCCTGCTGGATTTTGGATTTTCATGGGGCCTATAGCCCCTTTGTTTTGGCCAATTTCTCCCATTTGGAATGGCTGTATTTACCAAATGCCTGTACCCCCATTGAATCTAGGAAGTAACTAACTTGCTTTCGATTTTATAGGCTCATAGGCAGAAGAGACTTGCCTTGTCTTGAATGAGACTTTGGATTGTGGACTTTTGAGTTAATGCTGAAATGAGTTGAGACTTTGGGGGACTATTGGGAAGGCGTGTTTGGTTTTGAAATGTGAAGATATTAAATTTGGGAGGGGAGAGTGGTGGGATAATATGGTTTGGCTCTGTGTCCCCACCAAAATCTCACATTTTAGCTTCCATAATTCTCACTTGTTGTGGGAGCGACCCCATGGGAGATGACTGAATCATGAGGTGGGGGGTCTTTCTTGTGCTGTTCTCATGATACTGAATGAGTCTCAAAAGATTTGATGGTTTTAGAAAAAGGAGCTTCTCTGCACAAGCTCTTTTTTTTGCCTGCAGCCATCCACATAAGGTGTGACTTGCTCCTCCTTGCTTTCCACCATGATTGTGAGACCTCCTCAGCCATGTGGAACTGTAAGTCAAATAAACCTTTTTCTTTTGTAAAATGCCCAGTCTCAGGTATGTCTTTATCAGCAGCATGAAAATGGACTAATACATGGACTCCCCCATTTAACCTAATTTGCTTTCAGAAGTTTCCATCTATAACTACAAAGATCATGCTCTGTAAAGTATCCTTCTATATTGTGACTTTAGAGACAAATGTTAACATGGCATTGCTTATGTCTGTTAAGAAATGAAAAATCAAATATTCTTCTAGATGTTATTTCATATCTGGCCTCAAAGACAAGGTACATATAATTTGGAGAGAAAAAAATGGATAATTTTAAATGATTAAATAGGTCATGAGCAAAAAATGGTTAGTTTTAGTAATTTCAGAAGTCTTATATGTGAACTTAAATATGTAGTTCTCACTTTTAGTAGACAATTTAGCATTCATTTTTTCTTTCCTCTTTTCTAACAAAACCTTAAAGTTTTCATGTAATTCCCCTCTTAAACTAAGGTCGTGTGATTTAGGGTGAGTGTAGACCAGACCTAGCAACAGAAAAACAGCTACTAACAGTATGCAAAATAATAACAGCTAATTAATTTTTAAGCACTTACTATATGCCTAGACTACTCCTTCTATAGCAACTCAGGAGTGATTACTATTATATTCACTAAACTGAGTCCTCAAGATAATCTGCCAAGCAAAGTTCTGAATTGAATTGAGGTAGTCAAATACCAGATAATTTTTTTAATGTTGAAAATTTTAAAATTTTTATTCCATATCATTGTAAACAGTGTTTGAACACTTTCCAGGAAACAAGTCATAATATAACAGCAAGGATTCATAGCATGCATATAGTACTTATGTGACAGTCCTGTTTATAGAACTGTATGTGCATTAATTCATCTAATCCTCACAATAACTCTATGAGGTTAGGTCTTTTGCTCTTCAATTTTGTGCTGCATGGGCCAATTAAAATATTGTGATTACTTTTTCTATTATTTACTGCTATGGTTTCAATATGGTTTGTTCTCTCTGAAACTCATATTGAAATTTGATGCCCAATGTGGCAGAGCTGGAAGTTGGGACCTAGGGGAAGTTGCTTGAGTCATGCGGAAGGATCCCTCTTGAATAGGTTAATACTCTCCCACTGGTGGAATAAATTAGTTTACTCAAGAGCTAACAGAAATAAGAGTCCTGCTTCCTTAGTTTCTCTTTCTTCCTTTCTCTCCTCCATATAATCTTTGTTCACATTTCCATTCACCTTCTGCTTTTTGTCATGAGTGGAGGCAGGATGAGACCCTCGCCAGATACACCTGCCCAATCTTGAAACTTCCAGCCACCAGAATCATGAGCCAAATAAACTTATTTTTTTGTTTATATTAATAATTTACCCAGTCTCAGGTATTCTGTTATAGCAACACAAAATGAACTAAGACATTTACTAATTTATTCCCATGATTGTTCTCAAACGCTCTGATCTCAGGACACTTTTATACTCTTAATAATTAGTGTGGACCCCAACAACCTTTTGTTTTTGTGTCTTATATCTGTTGATATTTATCATATTAAAATATAAAACTTAAACAATTAAAAACAAAGATTTATTAATGCACGTAAAATAGCAATAACAAATTATTAAATGTGCTCCTAAGCACTTACAATACCATTTTTATTGCTTATTGCTTGGTCATTTAGTTCCTTTACTAAACTGCAAACACTTATGAAGGCAAGATATATTAGTCTGTTTTCACACTGCTGATGAAGACATACCCAAAACTGGGCAATTTACAAAAGAAAGATTTTTTGTTTGTTTGTTTTTTGTTTTTTTGAGACAGAGTCTCACTCTATCACCCAGGATGGAATGCAGTGCCTCGATCTTGGCTGACTGTAACCTCTATCTCCCAGGTCCAAGCGATTCTCTTGCCTCAGCCTCCTGAGTAGTTGGGATTACAGCCATGGGCCACCATGCCCGGCTAATTTTTGTATTTTCAGTAGAGATGGGGTTTCGCCATGTTGGCCAGGCTGGTCTCAAACTCCTGACCTCAAGTGATCCACCTGTCTCAGCCTCCCAAAGTGCTGGGATAACAAGCATGAGTCACTACGCCCTGCAAGAAAGAGGTTTAATGGACTCATGGTTCCGTAGCTGGGGAGGTCTTACAATCATGGTGGAAAGTGAAAGGCACGCCTCACATGGCGGCAGACAAGAGAAGAGAATGAGAGTCAGGCAAAAGGAGTTTCCCTTTATAAAACCATCAGATCTCATGAGACTTACTCACTACCAAGAAAACAGTATGGGGGAAACCGTCCCATGATTCAATTATCTTCCACTGGGTCTCTCCAACAACTTGAAGGAATTATGGGAGCTACAATTCAAGATGAGAGTTGGGTGGGGACACAGCCAAACCATATCACAAGGACTATATTTTGGCCACTTCTGTATTTACAGCACCTATCTGCTTTAAAAATTTTTAAATCTATTTTTAATAGAAAAGTAAAAATTATATACATAGCATGTGGTATACCAAATGAATATTTGAATAATATTATAATCTTGTTCAATTTTATTTTGGTCAGAATATTTTAAATAAAAAGTTTAAAAATAAAAAACAGAAATAACATTTTTGCAAAGAAACAATTATTTTTGAAAACAAACATTAATGGAAAAGTGATGATTTTTAATGACTTTGCAAATCTTTAATTTCTGGCTTAATAACAGTAAATTTCTAAAATCTTCTTGTGCACTCAATCTTTTAAAATATGTTGTTTTGGTTTATTTACATGATGAAAACATAGCTTAATTCATATATCTACATAGAAAAGGAAGGAACATTTAATGGAGTTTTCAGATAATTGTGAATATTTTTCTTAGACAGTACACCAGAACTCAATAAGTGATATTTTTTACTTTTCTGTGATATGGAAACTGAAACCATATCAATGACAATATATAATCTGTTATACTGTAGTCTATTTGTCTATCTTGCACATTAAATTGATCTTTTATTCATATAATTTTGAAACATCATATTTTTATCACTTGGAAAATATTAGTTCAGACTGTTCTGTGGCTCTTCCACAAGTGTATGCAGGTCAGCATACAAATCAAAAATAACGTTTATCAAGATCACCACCAATTTTTTCAGTATAGTCTTTAATTATCCAGAATCTCATAAGTTCATAGTAGCAGTTTTCAATTTTTTTTTTTTTTTTAGACGGAGTCTCTCTCCGTCACCCAGGCTGGAGTGCAGTGGCTTGCGATCTCACACTGCAAGCTCCACCTCCCGGGTTCATGCCATTCTCCTGCCTCAGCCTCCCGAGTGGCTGGGACTACAGGCGCCTGCCACCACGCCAGACTAATTTTTTATATTTTTAGTAGAGATGGGGTTTCACTGTTTTAGCCAGGATGGTCTCGATTTCCTGACCTCCTGACCTGCCCGCCTTGGCCTCCCAAAGTGCTGGGATTACAGGCGTGAGCCGCCACGCCCAGCCTCAAATTTTTTTTAACTCAAGTTTTGCCTTTGGCGAAATGTACAGTCATTAATTATTTTTCTTAGAATAACAATTTATTCATTTGCAAAAACTGATCGCTTAATACCCAAGTCTGAACAACCATAGTTTGTCTGTCAGTGATTCTTTCAAGTAAAAATGATGTTCTATGTGAAGGACAGCTAGTTCTGTCGGAACTAAAGCAATCACAATAGCGCTTTTTCTTGAGACACCATGGTATTTTGGCACGACAGAAGTGCTATATGCAAACTTTCATTATATTAAACAAAATATTTAAACAAATATTGTGATCAAGTTTATATAAAAAACCTCCTAATTCATAAGTCTAATATATAACAATTAAATAATTTCAATCATTTTCTCTTATAAGACACTTTGCTAAAATAATAATCCTAAAAATATATAATACAAAAGACGGTGATTTTTCAAGAAAATAATGCAATACAATTTTAAGTTGATACCTTTTTGTTAGTGTTGCCAAACATAAAATAGAATTTAAAGTACTTAAGCAATGAATTAATTATAATTAAGTCTATTTCACTTCTATAATTAACAGTTATTTCAGCTAAGATTTTTAAAGGACATAGTACATAGTAAGATATTTTACTCTCTACAGAAAAAGAATAAATATTGCTACAATGTTTTGCTTGTTGAACAGATACGTAGAGAAAAGAAAAACAAAGTACAATTGCATATATGTGTCATATCAAATTAGAACATGTATCTGAAAAACTGAGTAGTCCCATGTCATACAATATATGTAGTTATAGTTATATATTTACTTGAGGTATTTTAAGAAATATAGGAATTCTTATTTTGGGAATAGTAGGATTCATATTTTCCAAGACAATGTTCCATTTTAGACAAAACAAAATTTTCACACAGAGTGGTTAATAATATGACTCACAGTGACATTTTTTATCCTTAAAATTGTTTAAAACAAAAATGAGTGTGTAAAACCAATAAGGGTGTAAAATGTGTAGCATTTTAATAATGTATTTCCATCATAAATTTATGCTTCTGTCAAATTCCAGTGCTCAAGCTTTAATATCATGACTATTGTATTTTAAATCTTTATATATAAATTTTGTTTATCTTACTTTAAGCATATACATGAATGTTTCATAAATGTAAAAGTAAGATCATAATTTAGTAAGGAGAGAAACATTCAAATCTTTATATAATCATTTCAAAAGTTATCAAAAAGATTAGAATTTCTTTCATATACTATGTTATAGGAAGCAATAGGCCAATGCTTTTGCTGAGCACTGGAAAAAGTAGGGGGACTTATTAAATTATATATTTAAAGCCATTAGCAACTTGTGAAAGATGCACTAAAATTTCACGGAGGGAAGTTCTAGTAAGAGATGAAATGATAACAGGTAGACATTCGTTTTTATTTGCTTTGTTTTCTGGGATCATTTGGCAATTCTTCCCCTGGGCTATGAACAGAAATTTGGCCAGCAAATAAAATGCTGCTAGAAGAAGTAAAGATATGAAGCCTATTAGAGGTTTGTAAGCCTAGAGTGATAAAAAAAATACAAGTAGAAGTGTTTCAAATACACGAATGGTTTTTCAACAGTACTTTTGTTGAATTCAAAGGCTGTGCAGGACGCTAAAGAGCTAGAACCAAAGTTTCTATGAGGCACAAAATGGATTAAAAGACACAGTATTTCAACATGAAATGAGGAGTTAAAAATATATAGAATATTTTCAGCTCTCACATAGGAGTTAAGAGCATGTGGTATATCTATGCATGTAACACACTCACATACCCTCAAATATGTAAATTTATATATCAATAGACAAAAATATGTAAAATTTTTTAAAGCACCTAATAATTATACTAGAATTAAGTCAAATATCTAAAATTATAAACTCATTTTACAATTAGTGTAAAAATGCAAAGATCGAGAAAATCCAAGAAAATAATGAAGACGAACAATAAATTTAGGGCTTAAAATAGAACTTGGCTGGGCTACCTCCTGTAATCCCAGCATTTTGGGAGTCCGAGGCAGGTAGATCACCTGAGGTTGGGAGTTGGAGACCAGTCTGACCAACATGGAGAAACCCCATCTCTACTAAAAATACAAAATTAGCCGTGTGTGGTGGTGCATGCCTGTAATCCCAGCTGCTCAGGAGGCTGAGGCAGGAGAATCGCTTGAACCCGGGAGGCGTAGGTTGCGGTGAGCCTAGATCACGTCATTGCACTCCAGCCCGAGCAACAAGAGCGAAACTGTGTTTCTAAATAAATAAATAGATAGATAGATAGATAGTAGAATGCAAGTCCTATTTTTAAAATTCAGTAATGAAAACTGTATTTTGTTGCAAGATAATAAATTCATAAATATATCATAATATGTAAGTTCAAAATATCTTCCTCCAACTCATCACCCTCACCTAACCATACACAGTACCAACTGATTTATTCCAAAGATGATAGAGCAGTATATTTAGGAAAAGATGGTCTTTTCCAACACAAGATATAGGATCAATTGTAAATAAAATAAATCTTAATTTCTGCCCCACACCATTAACAAAGCTCAATTTCAGACAGATTGAAATAATATTTTTAACAAAAATATACATATTCTTGACTTTGGAGTAAGCAAAGACTACAAATAAACAAAAAACAGTATCTATTAAAAATGATACGTTGTACAGATTAATATTTAAAAACTTCCGTTCATCAAAGAAGAAAAAAAATAAAAACTCCAGAAACTATAATCATAGAGTGGGAGAAAACATTTGTAATATACATATCTGACAAAAAAAAACTTGTCTCAGAGTACATTCCTAAGGCTAAGGAAAACATGAAGAAGGATGGGAGAAATGAAAATATTGGCAAAAAATTAGAAAGACATTTTACAAAAATATATATACAAATAGACAATATATATAGGAAAAAGTGGTCAATTTTTTTAATTTTCAAGATGCAAATTAAAACACCAATGAGATACTTCTCTACACATACTATAATGGCTAAAATGAAAATGATGGAAAATAGCTAAAGCAGGCAAGGATATGAAATAAAATAATGTATAATGATTAAAAACTAGTGCAATAGAACTTTTTAAGAGTACATTGGTAGCAGACTAGAAATTAGATATTTACAAATATAATATATTTTTAGTGAATGACATAAAAATGATTAGGATATTGATATGAGGGAACTTTTTAAAAATGCTATCTTCTTGAAATATAAAACATTCAAAAGGCTGGGGGTGGTGGCTCAGGCCTGTAATCCCAGCACTGTGGGAAGCCGAGGAGAGTGGATCACCTGAGGTCAGGAGTTCAAGGCCAGCCTGGCCAACATGGTGAACCCCATCTCTACTAAAAATACAAAAAATTAGCTGGGTGTGGTGACAGGTGCCTGTAATCCCAGCTACCTGGGAGGCTGAGACAGAAGAATCGCTTGAACCTGGGAGGTGGAGGTGGCAGTGAGCCAAGATGGTGCCATTGCACTCCAGCCTGGGCAACAAGAGCAAAACCCTGTCTCAAAAAAAAAAAAAAAAAATCAAGAAAAAAATATTTAAGTAAAAAATATATGGAGAAACAGAGCCATTTATGTTGAATCTGCCTTTCACAGATATAGAATGTTCTTAAGCATTTTTAACTTACTATTTTGAGACTCATTACCAATAAAGTATCCAGTGTCAAGTTTATCAGACTAGTATTTTTATTCAGAAATAAAAATTAGTATTTGAGGGTATGTTTAGTGTAAATACATTCCATCTGCACAATATTTCCTAAACTGTTTAACAATGTGACAAAACTTTTGAGTATCAGTGAGACATGATAATAAGCACGTTTGTGTTATCAGATCAACAAAATATTTTCTACTAGAAAAATGATTCAGTGATAGAACACAAACCCAAATGATGTGAGAGTTTAGTTTTCTCTGCCCCTATTTTTATAACATTATTAATTGCTATTTTTAAAGTCATTTTTTAAACTTTCCTATAAATATTTTTAACTTCATATCTGCATTAAAATGCTGTGGGAATTTTAATGTATCATGTGGACTAAGCTTTTATAGCATCTTTATCAATATATAGCTAGAACTAACTACAGTCACAGCAAGTTTAGCTGGTAAAGTCTCTGATAGGGAGGATGTGGTAGAGCAAAAATTATACTTATTTACTAAATGCAGTTTGTCTCCAAATTAAAGATACCTGGAATCTAATCTTCTTTCTTTAGGTCAGTTTTCCCAGCTAGATTCTCTTGAAACCTTTCCTAATATTTCCCTTTTCTTCTTAGAAAATAAGAAAAGGGAAATATTATTTTCTTCTTTTCCCGCTTCCTGCTTTACACATCTATTTGGATTATAATCCTTCTTTTCTCTGTAACCTCTTTGCCCACTAATCACTTTATTCCCAAGTACTTCCTTAAGTAATTGATTCAAGATTGATGATAGGATGTCTTCTGGAGGCAGAACAGCCAGTGAAGAGAAAAAGAGCAGATAGTAAACAAACACAGAAGTTCCCCTCCCTACTTTATCTTTATCAAGTGACTGTTTCTGGGCAGTCTCACTTATTTGGTCTTATCACTTTCTATTATTATCATTTTCTTCTAAAACTCCAATAATAAAATCCTTAGAATAGCCTTCTATAATCAAGGAAAATGCTGTCAAGTGCCTGTATTTCCTCTGAAATTAGAATGACTGTATCAGTCCTTCTGTACACAACGCTGGTTATTCAATATATAACTAATGGAGCTCTACCGTACACCTCCTACTGAAAAAAATAAGAAATTAAGAATAAATAAGCAAAAAAATGTAAAGAAAAATGTATTCAGTGAGTAGGTAATTTTGGGGAAAATTTAAAAAGGTATATAAACATGTATAAACACGTATGGACATACACATATGCACATATACACATATACACATATATATATACACACATACATATATCTATATAGCTGTATCTGCCTATCTGTCTATCTATCTAGCTAGCTATTCATCTAGCTATCTATCAAGAGAAACATAAGGATCTCTAGAATGGTTTAAAGAAGTTTAATGAGGATTCTACAGAAAGTGGCATAGAGTGAAATTACATAAAGGTGTACAATGTAAACTTGTTATCCTTTACTTTTTTAAATATAGAAAATATAAAACATATTTTTGGAATTAAAGAGAGAAGTTTTTGCATTTCCTCTCTTTCAATATAGTACTTAATTAGGTATATTTAAAGCATCTGTCTTATAATGAAGATAATTATGTAAATAGATAACTTCTGGTAGGCCACATAAAACAGCAAATAATTTAAAAAATATATAATGTGAAACAAATGGATCTTAAGCTAGAGGCCTGCATTTTTATCATATCCTTCTATCATCCTTGGAAGGCCCTAAAATATGTTTATGTAAGCACATATTTTTTGTAAAGTATACAAAAATAATATAATAGATCTGCAATTGGTTAAGACCATTGGGAGAAGGTTATGTAAAGAGTAATAGCAACAAAATGACTAAATTCTTATTATCAGAAATTTTACAAACTTGGAAATATGTTTAAAAAACAAATGTTTTCATGAGAAACGTTTAGATTATAAAAACAATATCATACTAAAATAAAGTTTAGTAGCAAATTAAACATTCTGTTCTATTTATTTTTAAAATATTTCACTGTCATTTTTGTAATATTTTGCTGAATGTACATTTTTAATTTGGCAGATTTTTGTTTATTTGTTTTACTTTTAACACTTGAGTATGGCATTCTATTGCCTATAATTTTACATAATTCCTAATGAGAAAAATGTAGTCATTTTGTCCCTCTTGAATGTAGTCATTTTGTCTCTGTTGTTTTTAGTTTGTCTGTAAATTTCCACCTCATAGCTACTTTTCAGATGCTCCTCTTCTTGCTGGTTTTTAATAAGTTCATTGATATATTTATAGCTTTCATCATATTTAAAAAAAAACATTATCCTTCAATATGTTTTTTGTTCTACCCCTTCTTTCCTCTTAGTTCTGCAATTGTACATGTTAGACCACTTGATAATTTTCCCAAGGTAAATGAGGCTGTGGCCATTTATTTTAGTCTTTTCTCTCTATGTTCTTCAATTTGGATAGTTTGTATTGATACATATTAAAGTTCATTGATCTTTATTTCTGCAGTGTCTATTCTTCCAATAATTCCATCTATTAAATAAAATATTTTGATACTATATAGTGAAAAAAATTATGAAAAAAATTATCCTAAAGCAGATCATAAACTAAACTAAAATATATATAATAGGCTAGGAACATATATACTTATATATATGTATATATAATAAATGGTTGTAAAGATTCTTACATAAAGTACTCCTTGAAATAAGTAAAGAAAGGGAGTATGTAAAAGCAATTCACAAAAAAATGTGAAAATTATTTAAATCATTGTAGTAAGATAAATATAATTTAGAAGTATAATGAGATGACTGCTTTTAAATTATTTACACAGTGTACATTTAATAATATTTATTATGAAAATAAAAATACGTCCCAAAAGGCTACATTCATGGATTAATTTTGAGATAGCAAAATGTCAATCTTTTAGAAGGCAATTGATAACATATACAAAAATAATTTTACAATGTATACACTTGTCCCCAGAAATTCTACATCTACAGATACTCCCTACTGAAAGAGGCAGATAGTAAATGTGTTAGTAACATTCTTAGAAGTTGCAGGAAGTTAGAGTCAAAAGTGAATAAACACGTCTACTTTTCATAAAGGGAGGTAAAGTTGTTTCTTTGAGCCCAGAGAGGAGGGGGGACAGGGGAAGATTAGATATGTATCTGTATTGACAGTGATAAATTGAGCATCTGAGATATGTGAGCTAACTTCTTCTGTGGATTCCTTTGCTCTTTCACTTCTTCGAAAAATCTTCAACAGGAATGTCATCTATTTTTTGGATCTTAGTCCTTTGTCAGATGTATAGATTGTGAAGATTTTCTCCCACTGTATGGGTTGTCTGTTTACTTTACTGACTGTTCCTTTTGCCCTACAAAAGCTCTTTAGTTTAATTAAGTCCCAGCTATTTATCTTTGCTTTTATTGCATTTGCTTTTGGGTTCTTGGTGATGAAATCCTTGCCTAAGCCAATATCTAGAAGGGTTTTTCCAATGTTATCTCCTAGAATTTTTATAATTTTAAATCTTAGATTTAGGTCCTTTATCCATATTGAGTTGATTTTTGTATAATGTGAAAGATGAGGATCCAGTTTCATTCTCTTACATGTGGCTTGCCAATTATCCCAGCACCATTTATTAAAAGCGTGTTCTTTCCCCACTTTACATTTTTGTTTGCTTTGCCAAAGATCAGTTGGCTACAAGTATTTGGGTTTATTCTGGGGTTCTCTGCTCTGTTACATTAGTCTATGTGCCTATTTTTAGACCAGTACCATGCTGTTTTGGGGACTATGACCTTATAGTATAGCTTGAAATCAGGTAATGTGATGCCTCCAGATTTGTTCTTTTTGCTTAGTCTTGCTTTGGCTATGCGGGGTCTTTTTTGGATTCATATGAATTTTAGGATTTTTTTTTCTAGTTCTGTGAAGAATGGTAGTGGTATTTTGATGGGAATTGCATTGAATTTGTAGTTTGCTTTTGGCAGTATGGTTATTTTCACAATATTGATTCTACTCATTCATGAGCATGGGATGTGTTTTCATTTGTTTGTGTTGTCTATGATTTCTTTCAAACAAATTAACAACAACAACAACAACAAAAAAAAACAAATAACCCCGTCAAAAAGTGGGTTAATAACATGACGTGACAATTCTCAAAAGAAGATATACAAATGGCCAACAAACATATGCAAAAAATGCTCAACATCATTAATGATCAGAGAAATGTAAATCAAAATCACAAGGTGATACTGCCTTACTCCTGCAAGAATGGCCATAATCAAAAAGTTAAAAAAAATAGATGTTGACATGAATTTGGTGAACAGGAAACAGTTCTACACTGCTGGTGGGAATGTAAACTAGTATAACCACTATAGAAAACCAGTGTGGAGATTCCTTAAATAACTAAAAGTAGAACTACCATTTGATCCAGCAATACCACTACTGGGTTCTACCCAGAGGATAAGAAGTCATCATATGAAAAAGATACTTGCAGACACATGTTTATGGCAGCACAATTCACAATTGCAAAATGTGGAACCAACCCAAAGCCCATCAATCAACAAGTGGATAAAGAAACTGTGATATTTTATATACATATATATATATGATATATATATGCATATACCTATATATGTGTGTGTGTGTGTATACACACACACACACACACACACAATAGAATACTACTCAGCCATAAAAAGGAATAAATTAATGGCATTCACAGCAACCTGGATGAGATTGGAGACTGCTATTGCAAGTGAAGTAACTCAAGAGGGGAAAACCAAATATTGTATGTTCTCATTCATAAGTGGGATCTAAGCTATGAGGATGCAAAGGCATAAGAATGACACAGTGGACTTTGGGGACTCCAGTGAAAAGGGTAGGAAGTGGGTGAGAGACAAAAGACTACAAATTCAGTGCAGTGTATACTGTTCGGGTGATGGGTGCACCAAAATCTCACAAATCACCGCTAAAGAACTTACTCATGAAACCAAACACCACCTATTCCCCAATAACCTACAGAAATACATTTTTTTAAAAAAAGGAATGTCATCTACTTTCAATATTTATGTGTGTATATGTGTATCCGTGTGTTTGAATGTATCCTGCAAGTCTCTGATAGAAAACTATAAAAAATGCAAATATATCATTAGTTCTAGCACTCCCAAAAATTATTTATTTTGTGAAAATCTTTCATACCCACTGTTCACTGAATCAAGAAAAAAAAAAACTCTCATGATGATGACTACTTAGACTCACAGTCTTCATGGAGTGATTTTGTGCCAAGGCTGAATGAAGGGGTAGAAGCAAAGCCATTCATCTCTGCTGCCCTCCCAGATAAAAAGGATAGATTAACATTCACTATGATATTCATCTATAGCCATGAAGGTTCTTTGAGAACACCTGCCAACAGTGAGGAATGTCATCTTTTGTATTAACTATCTTTTATAATACACTACTTCAGAGCCCCATAGTAATCGTCATAAATGATGATCAAAATCTTTCAACTGTAGCAAGGTACAAACCCATTAGACAAATTTTATGAAAGAATTGCAGCTGGTTCCCTCTTCTGTAAAATTGTTAATCACAATTCCTTCATTTTTGAACTGTTTTGATTCATTGTTCAACAAGTATGCAACAATAGTTGTATATACGATCATTCTACATTTCTGTTAATTGAAATATTTATATTATACAAAACTTATATTTTGGTTTTGAAATACTTTTGTCACATAATGCCATTAAGTAAACATTAAAGTTTTCAATTTCATTTATTACATAGAGAACACTTTATATTGTTTCTAAGACACCTACCCAAAACATAAACATAACTAGGGCATATAAAACATTACAGTTTTTCATGTTTTCTTTTGCTATCGCTACATTTCACCTCTGATTTCATGGAGTGATAAATTATTAAGGAACTAGAAAACATAATGTTTTGAAGAGTCATAGATTTATACAAGTACACCATTTTTCACTTTCTCCTTGGACATGTAGCTCCTTTATTCTTAACCCAACACTCAAAAAAATCAATTATATATTATGTAAATTATACTATCACATCACACAACTAACACATAGTTTCTTTGCCTTGAGAGTGTGTGTTAAGACCCACTCTTCTTTACATCTATTCAAATCATTCCCTGATCTCCT